>NC_000001.11:238456848-238608364 GCF_000001405.40 Homo sapiens | reverse complement strand
AAGTCGAAACTGAGTAACCAACAGACTGTTGCAGGGGAAACCCTCACCCCAGACACACCCCCAACCACAGTAAATACTAATGATGTTTTCTTCTCTATGTTTAAGTTATTTTCTATCAGCTTGGATGCCTATCCTGCACTCCACCCTGAAAGCCTCGATACATGAGTAATCTTTTATATCCTCTTGGTGTGTATATAGGGATCATCAGTCTCAACATCCAACTAAATTTGGGTTGGAGGTATTAAAACAACAATTAGAATATAAGCTCCAAAAGATTAGAGGCTTAGCCCATTTTGTTCAATGCTGTATCTGTGGGACATAGAACAATGCTGAGATGTAGTAGACATTCAAAATAATTTGTTGAATGAATGAATATGTCTGCATTAATGCATGCTGACACCTATTCTAGATAGTTTTCCTTCCAAATCACAAAGCCACAATGACCGAGTGATAAGCTATTAGAGAAAATTAGGCCAGAGTCTCAAATACTAACCTAGAGTTTTTTTATTCTAAATAAAATAGTTTCTTTCTACTCATTTCTATCAGGAGCTTTAAGGGAAATATAAAAAGATGGGAAAGAAAAAGCAGCAATAATTTCTTTTGATGGTTTAAAATATTTTCAGAGGTTTTGTGATACGAATAGGTATACACGATTACTTCTTAATAAACCAAGCAAAAAATCCTACACAAAGCCACCTGATCTCACAAGCCATATGCCAATGTTCTAAGCTTGGCTTAATTGTAAATACTGCCTAATTATTGCTGATTTAGTCTGATCAGATGTCTGCAATATGCAGAATGACGGAAGATGAAAACTTAATATGAGAGAATGTTTTAAGATGCCTATTTCTTAAAATTTAACATTTCATAAGCAGATATGGCTTACCATATCTATGCAAAACCAATTTGCACATGTAAATAACAAATTAAATTTGAAGCATGAAGCAGAAATCAGCTAAGAATCCACGGTGTGAGTCTACTGAATAGAAATATTTAAGTGAGAGGAAAGGGGGATTTAAATATAATTTATTCACTTAGAGATTAAGTAAAAATCTTTTTAACTAAGGTGATGTAGTAAGAGCTACACAGGATTTGTGCTCCATGGATTTTTAGATTAATATCCCCTACAGCTCATTACCTGATTTTTAAATGTCCCTGATCTTATGAGGTTGTGTATGACTCAGGCTTTTTGTCATGCTGCTACTTACACTAAATCTTCTCTTTCCCAACATATGCGCCTTCAATCTTCTTCCGTTATGAGTCAAGAAAGGAAATTAGCTGTATAGTCTGGCTATTCAGCTAGAGAGGTGGATGTGAAAGATAAAAATCATGTTACGAAACAGGGGTGTGCATCAGTTATCAACTGAGGTGCAACAAACCACGCCAAAATGTACTGACTTCAAGTAACATTTATTTACTCACAGTTCTGAAAATCAGCATTTAAGGCTGGGCTTCACTGGAGAGCTCTTTTGCTCTTCTCACCTACGATCATACCCACAGCTGCAACTGTTCTTAATTCTGGCTAGTGAATGGAGCACCTCAGTTTTCCTCGCAGTCTCTCATCTTTCAGTGGGCTGGTTAGATTAATCTTCTTTGAATAGTTGTAGGGCACTATTTTAAGAGGTCAAGACAAATGCACAAGCCCTTATCAAGCTCTCACTGGGGACCATACTTCTTACTAGGTAAGAAGTATGATTCGCTAGGGGACCCTAGAGGAATAATATACAGCATGATTCACACTCTGCACAAATAGTAGTAGAAGTAGAAAGAAAACAATTATTGGAACTAATACAAGAGGAATTGACTTGGATTAGAAAGGCTTCTTGAAAACTCATAAAACCCTGATGAGTCCAATCATAAGTCTTGCTTTAAAAAAGATATACTATTTTTTTAAGGAGGGTCTCTATGGTTAACAGGAAAATATTATATACTACAAAACAGCTACAATACAGGCTTTTTAAGGTTCTCTACAAGGAAATGACAAGTGCATAAAGTGATACACTAACTACTTTGATTGGGTCATCATACAACACAGATATGTTTCAAAACATCAAATGGTACCCCATAATGATATACAATTACAATGTATCAATTAAAATGTAGAAATAAAAATTTAAAAAGAAATACATCCTAAATCGAAAGACAGAAAACAATGTTTTTTGTTTGTTTTTGAAATAAGACTATTAAAAGTTGTACTACCACTACATATGTGGAATCTACCTATATACTACATATAATTCAGGAAGTATACCACATGATTAAGATACAACTGAAAAACATCTCTTTCAACGCTTGTGAAAGTCAATACACCTGGTGCTTATGAGATGCATGTTCTAGCCTCCCAACAACATTAAAATTACCTTTCTTTACCTGCACATATTTCTTACTGATTTTTTTTTTTTTTTTTTTTTTTTTTTGAGACAGAATCACGCTCAGTCGCCAGGCTGGAGTGCAGTGGCGTGATCTTGGCTCTTGGCTCACTGCAACCTCCGCCTCCCGGGTTCAAGTGATTTCCCCTGCCTCAGCCTCCCGCGTAGCTGGGACTACAGGCACACACCACCATGCCTGGTTTTCTTTTTTTTTTTTTTTTTTTTTTTTTTTTTGTATTTTAGTAGAGACGGGGTTTCACCGTGTTGGCCAGGATGGTCTCAATCTCCTGACCTCGTGATCTGCCCGCCTCGGCCTCCCAAAGTGCTGGGATTACAGGCGTGAGCCGCCGCGCCCGGCCCTTTGTTACTGAAATTTAAACATCATCAAATTCTAACTCAATTCATGACATTCTCACCTTAGAGACCTATGCATATAAGTGGCAATATTTATTCTTATATCCTGATGCAAATTGAGATACTTTAACAGATCTCAAAATTCTTATTTTCTTCTAGTATTAATCTTTGGATTTCGTTCATTGTCTACTTCGATTTTATTGAACTTAGCCTCATTAGTATTACTGGACTTATTTTAGTATTATTGAACTTAACCTCACTAGGATTAATTAACCTTGAAAACAATCTTATTTAATTATGATTTCATATCACTTGTTCCTTGTAAGTAGTGTCCACTATGAATTTTGGCCTGATGAAAGGGCAAATAAGGATCCTACTAATTATTAGAGATTATGAAAATAAAATTTCTTTTTCTTCCTATATGTACATGCTCTTATAAGCTGTGAATTAATGGGTTTCCACACAACCTAAATAATCTTATACAGTGGCATAATTATACCAAGCTAGGGAAAGATAAGGCTTAGATCAAGCTCTTTTCATAATTTACTGGACTCATGGCCAACCAATGATCCTTTTATACTTCAATGGATCTCAAATTTAGACTAAGGAAAAAAAATGCATATTTTATTATAATGGAGTTTTTTTTTTTTTCTTTTTTTCCATGTGTGAAAAGCACTTACACAGGTAAGGGTTAGAATACATTTGACTTTCTTCCAACATCAGAGAGATAATTCACGTATCTATTTTGAAGCAGACTTTTATGAAAGAAGATGAAAATTGAAGGAGAAAAATCTCAAACCACAACCCTTGATGAATTCTTATTTCATACAGACCTAAACTGAGGTACAAATAAGTAAAGATGATACTCAAAGTATGTTAGTTCTATATTCTGAGAGATAGGTTCTTGGTTACATAGATCGAAGAGCTATCTACACTGCAAACAGTCGTGTGTGCATGTGCACACACACAGGCTCTGTCTCTCTGTTTCTGTCTCTCTCACTCTCAAACACACATACACATGCATGCACACACACATACACACACACACACACACAAAGCTGTGTGAGGATATCACATTCTGGCATCTCGTCCAGTGCTCTACAGGAGTCTCACAGTTCCTTTTTGTTCTCAGCAGGATTGCACACCATTTAAATCATACTTGAAGTAAAAATTATTGTGCCAGCTCTTCCTCTGAACATCACAGAGATTCTGGCAGGTTCTAGAATTCAGAGAAGTTGGAGTGGAAATAAGAAAGCTGATTTGAAATCAGAAAAGCATTCACTCACCAAATGATTTAGATTAATTATGAGTCTTCTGCTGATTCTTCACCTATGTATAGCTAAGCATTTTAACAATGTAACTTTAAGTTCTTTGAGGAATAAAATGTGTTTCAGAAAATGTACTTTATCTTCAATCCAGGTAAATTTATTTCCTTAAGTACTTAGTCTCATTATTATGTAGATTGCAAATTACCAATTCCTGTAATGGAACACCTGTGAAAGATTATTTTAGATAGGGATTTAAATATATATTCAGTTATTTTTACTAGTTTATAACACATTTTGTTGATTTTTCATAATGAATGGGTATGTTATCCTGTCTTCTCCAGAAACTTTTAGATAGACTTTAAAATTAATTTGATCTTTGAATTCTTGAATTCTAGAGATATCTAGATTATATTATCTTTTATAAATACTTCTTTCAAAGTAAAATTTATTCTTTCTACATAGTATACACAATTATAACTAGGAAGTATTAAAATATCTAAAATTAAACTTTTGAAAGAATATAGCAAGTTTTCTCAACAACTTATTGATAATATTTTAACAAATGTTTAAATGTCAATGACATTGCAGAGTAATGCATCTTATGTGACAAACAGCTAATGAAATGGAAGTCAATTAAATAAGTGTCAATCAGTGTAAACTATGAGAATTACCCTTTAACTCAGTATTGAATTCCACTATGGTGAAGCATGTTTGAAAGGCACTTAGCTTGCATTGATTTATAGGGTTTTTCAGTAAAGACATATCCCAAATTTCAGACACTCATCTTTCTGGTTCCCCATCGATTTATTAGCGCTCACTTCCCTTTCCTTATTTCCTGTGCTTCCAAAGGTACTCTGCTTACTCAACTATAAAAAATGCATAATTTTTCAAAATTGAGTAAGAGTAGAATACAATGAACAGAGAGATGATAGAAGATTGATAGGTTGGTAGGTGGATAGACAGACAGGCAGGCAGGCAGGCAAGGTCTCCTCCATATTACCCCCATCACCCTCACTACCCCAGACTCTGCATCTGAGATTAGCTAAAAGTATGTTTGAGGAGATCGGCACTGCATCTAAGCATGTCAAGTGCTGACCAGATTTCATGACCTTTTTAAATTCCATTATCCTCCTTCAAGAGCAGTTTCTCATACCATGAGACAACTCTTACTTGTTTATTATGAATGAATTCTATTACCTAGGAGATCATTAGATAATAACCACATTTTTAAGTTAAATATTGAAATAAGAACAGGCTCCAGTCAGGGTACTGAATTAATTACAGCACCCTGTTTTTCTCCTGATTGAGATAAATTGCGCTAAACAGCTGACATTTGGAAACTTAAAGCATGTCAGAGTATTGAACCATTCAAATTAACATTCCTAGGGAATGGACATGAGGGCAATTAAGATTTTGGCAATTGTCTGGCCGGGCGCGGTGGCTCACACCTGTAATCCCAGCACTTTGGGAGGCCCAGGTGGCCAGGAGTTCAAGATCATCTGGCCAAGGAGTTCAAGACCAGTCTGGCCAACATGGTGAAACCCCGTCTCTACTAAAAATACAAAAATTAGCCAGGTGCGGTGGTGCACACTTGTAGTCCTAGCTACTCGGGAGGTTGAGGCAAGAGAATTGCTTGAACCAGGAGGCAAGGTTGCAGTGAGCCAGGATCGCACCACTACAACTCCAGCCTGGGCGACAGAGCAAGACTCCATCTCAAAAAAAAAGAAAAAAGATTTTGGCAATTGCGAATTTCAAAATTAAATGTGACCTAGAAACATAGGAAACATGCCTGCATGCGCGTGCACACACACACCCCACACAAACCACACACGCCCACATGTTTTGTTTTTCTCAAAAAAATATTTTATTTATGGTTAACTGTTCAGGTTTTCCATGAGCTAACTATGCTCAGAAGAAAGGGCTATTTCTTTTTCTCTTTATTCTTCCCTTTCTTTTTTTTTTTTTTTTTTTTTTTTTTTTTGCAGAACACATCATCTTTATTTGTACCCAAGTTGTTGGAGAAATAGCATTGACAGCATGTATTATGTCATCACTGGGAATGTCATCCCAAGGATTAAGTACCCATTTGTGAAATATTAGATCACTTGTTTTGATTTTTGTGTATCTTGTTTGTGTTTACACTTGATCTCTACAACAGAAGCATGTACTGTTTTGCTTTTGAAAGATCTTTAAAATAATTCTATAGATCATATCACCAGTTACAATTTTGAGATGATATCCCACAAACAGACAAGTAAATCTGTATTAAATAGTTTTGCTCTTTTCTAACTGACCCCATCAACTGATTCCAGAATCACCCAAAACTGGCATTGATTGAGATCAGTTCAGGCCAAATGTCCCTTTCCCAACAGCACCACAACTGACTTCCTGTCTTACATTTTGGAGCATAAGATTAACTTTTCCTGCCAAAAAATTTCAGCAAAAATGTTCCTGAAAGAAGCATGTGCAAATCAAATGGAAGAATACGTGGTTTGGGAAATGAGAAGACTTTAGCATTGTGTTTGTTGAGCATTACATTTTTATGGCCCGTAGGGGCTTGTAGCTTCCTTGACCTGATTATGCAATCCCACAGCATGGCACACAGGAAAAGATGTGCCTAGTGCCTGTTGAAGCAGAGCAAGGACAGGAAGGATTAATGAGTATGAAGTCTTTCTATCTTCTTTCTGCCTTTCAGGAAGGGTTTTTGCTTTGTGGCTGTCAGCACCTGAACTTTCCTTTTTGGTGCAGAATCTGGGAAATGGACAAATTTTTTCCCAAGAAAAATAATTGGAGTAAGAGGCCAGACTACACTTTCCAAAGTTTTTTGTGGGGAGCACAAATGGAGGCTCTAGAGTGGGAGTGAGGGTGAAGGGGAAATAGAGGAGCCATGTGGAAGTAAAGGAAAGGCAGGAATGGGAGAGGAAGAATCAGATTGTCAGGCACTGTTGAGTGGAAGACATTGTGCTGGGTGCATGTGGGGGGAATATTCTGTAGTGGGGAACTGGGAATGGGGAATTGATTTACAAAGTAGCAGCTTCTGCCTGTGTGGAAAATAGTGGAAGATTAGAGAAGATGATTAAGATATTTTGTTAGACATTAAGAACAGCATCCCCACTTCCATGCCTTTGGTCTTTTCTAAAACACTGAATACCATTGAAATAGTTGATTATCATATGTGCCTATTGTAAACTGCAATGTTTTGTTTTTTTCAAAAGTATCCTTTAAAAGAGAGGAATCCTAATCAAATCCCTCCAAAGTTTCTCACATTATAGGCTTTCTATCATTGACTGTACTTTATTCTTCCCTTTCTTTAAACCTCCATGGTCTCAACTCCTGGGTAGACAGTATTGTGCAAACTATATTTATATTTTAAGGTGAAGTGATATGCAAAATATTAATGGCAGAAATTAACTTTGCCCCAAAATAATTTTCCAAAAATCACACTTTAATTAAGAAATGTGTTTTCTCTGTAAATAATTGCCATGAGATTTTTAGACATTTTACAAAAATCTTTACCAAGTTAGTAAGAGAAAGACACTTTCACATTATTACTTTAATTCTTACATCTGTGGATAGCAGAAAGATTAAGTAATTTTTAGTATGCATATTGAAGGTTTCTGTATCCTCTTTGAAAATTACCCTACCTGTGTTTATGTTCAGTTTGCTACTGGAGATGTTCAGCTTTGTCTTACTGATTTGAAAGGGTGTTTATATAATAAATCTTTTTTTTTGTTTAGAGATGGAGTCTTGCTCTGTCGCCAGGTTGGAGTTCAGTGGTGTGATCTCAGCTCACTGCAACCTCCGCCTCCCGGGTTCAAGAAATTCCCCTGCCTCAGCCTCCCAGGTAGCTGGGATTACAAGTACAAACCACCATGCCCGGCTAATTTTTTGTATTTTAGTAGAGATGGAGTTTCACCATGTTGGCCAAGATGGTCTGGATCTCCTGACCTCATTATCCACCCACCTCGGCCTCCCAAAGTGCTAGGATTACAGGCATGAGCCAATGCGCCTAGCCTATAATAAATCTTTTAATCCATTTTTGTTATATTCACTTTATGATATGTTCAAAAAGAGAAATCTTTTTAATGTTTTTAAAAACATGTTTCATGGTGCTTATATTTGAGATATACTTAGAAAATCTTCATCTACTAGAAAGTTGTCTGCATAATTATCTATATTTTCTTGTATTAATTCTACTGATCCAATTCTGGTATACATGCACACACACATTAAATACTAATTTTGAGTTAAGGTTCACTTCATTGCTAGCAGGACCTTTCTCCTACAAATTTATGTGACATGAACACCTCAAGGAAATTAAACAACAGGGGAACGGACAGACACTTTTTAGCCAGGAAACAATCTGAAGGCATTATTTTGGCCATGTTATATCCCTCCGTGTAACTGGATTTAGACACTGACTCTTCCAAGACAAACACAGAGAAAAATGGTTCAACTGATTCTACAAATTACACATTATCATAGTAACAAAGTCTTTCTCCCCTAGGACTTTTTCAGACTCTGAAGAAATCCACGTAGCAATAATGACCCACATGGGGGGTTTCTGATCCAATTAAGTTTTTCTATGGTCTTAAGAGGCCTTAATGGGCTCCTCAGAGCCCTAAGTCATGTAATTTAAATCCTGAAACGCCTGAAGATAATATGCTACTTATTTATATTGTGTAAATCCAAGTCTCTAAGTGATCCCAAAACAATAATGCATTATCATGTCATGCAATTTGTTGAGAAAATAGTAAGAAGTAAAAATGGATGACTGTGAAGGTCACCACGTAAATGGCTGCTCACTCAAAGTCACAAGCCCTGTTACTTTAAGAAGATAATGTGTAGCACGCAAGGCAAATCGTTGAAAATGTTAAAGCCTCTGAGTACATGCCCAGAACTCCTGCAACATAACTACATCTCAAGTTCCTATAATATTAATAAATTATACTTTTCTTTATTGAAATGGCAATCTTACTCCTTTCAGTCTCTCTGCACATTCTCCCAAAGTCCATTGTATCTCCACTAATGTAAAATATTTCACATTTATCATATCAAATTCTTATATAAGATTGAACCTATTTCAGAATACTATTAAGATTTCTCTCAGAGATGTCCGGACCTGTTTGAAATATTTTTAGATAAGGAAAAGGAAAGTATATATATTTGTGGTTCTTCTTACAAGCTAGCAGAATCCAAGGCAAGATTTCAGATCTGGCTGAAGCTACGCTATTCCCACATGGCTACCCTCATTAATAGCTAGCTACAATCAGTCTCTCCTTCTGATTGATTACTCTATCTGCCACACATCAATTGTGAATAAGTACCATCTCAGGTTGTCTGCTCTGTATTTCTTGGAGAAGGATAAGTTGGAGGTGTGTTCACCCTCATACTTGCCACCCAACAAATGTCATATGATTCCTCCTAATCTCAGATCAAGCCACTCTTGGCTTACAGTGAATTAATATTGTAAGATTATCTTGCATTGTCTTTCATTTGCTTCTAGTTGAACTCTGCTTCCTGCACAGGGAATAATAAATTACAGATTTATTTCCTAAAAATGTCCGTCTGCATTATATCTTGCAAAAGGGCCTTGATAAATTTCTCTCGATTTACATTATTGCCTAAAAATCGTACCAAATTAAATATGAAATAATTTTGAAAGAATCAAAAAATCATGTGTATTTATAGGAGTGGTGTGAGGTGGCTTCATAAAAAGTTGTTTTTATAAATAGTCAATATTAGAGCATCTATTCTGATTTATATATTAAATTGTTTTAAGAGATAATTGTTATAAGATGAATTATTTCCCTCCAATTGGTATGCTGAAGTACTTATCTCCATGTAACTCAGAATGTGACTGTATTTGTAGATAGGGCCTTGAAAGTGGTAATTAAGGTAAAATGAGGTTGTTTGAATAGGGTGCTAATCCACTATCGCTGGTATCCTTTCAAGAAGGGGTGATTAAGACACAGACACACACAGAGGTAAGATCACGTAAAGACATTGGAGGAAGATGGCGACCTGCAAACCCAGGAGAGAGGATTTTATGAAAAGCAACCCTGCCGACACCTTGATCTCAGACTTCTAGCTCCAGAATTGTGAGAAAAATTAATTCCTGCTGTTTAATCCACCCAGTATGTGGTATTTTGCTAACGGAAGCCCTAGCAAACTAAAACAATATTCCATCCCTCTGTTCTTGCGTGTTTCTCCCCTGCCTAGGTATTTTTAGTTATTATGATTGTTGCTAAGAAGAGGTTTATATGTCTTATTTACTCCTCTTAGTACAAAGAGACTTATTTATAGATCTGATGATTGTCAACACCGCACCATTAATTTGACTCTGATTACCAACCCTGGCATAAGGATTTTTGGAGAGTTTCAAAAGAAGTATTAGACTTTTTGTCTCACATACTCTTAGATCCAAGCATTCAGTGGTTCCCAGTGCAAACCAAAAAGTGAATAAGAAAGTCAATGCATAATACATTTTTAGTTTATTCATAGCTTTGTGTCATGATCAAAAATATATATAACTGCTTATTTAAAACTAATTTCCTGGAAATTCTAAACTTGGCTTCCGACAGAATCACATTCACAGCTCTATAGCAATAAAGCAAGTTGTTTTGTCCCCATTTTCCACTAATTCTGAAATATCCATGGAGGGTGTCACTTTAAGATGTACTGCTCTTCTAATAGAAGATCACAATTTCTGACCCTCCCAACCAATAGAACACCTGGAAATCTGAAGTCTCCAACAGGACTGGTACCAGTCTGCTTCCTGTCCATGGCTTTACCACAGTAATTTTCTGTTGGAATTAAAAATCCAAGATGCAGGCCGGGTGTGGTGGCTCACGCCTGTAATCCCAGCACTTTGGGAGGCCAAGGCGGATGGGTTTGAGGTCTGGAGCTCGAGACCAGCCTGACCAACATGGTGAAACCCCGTCTCTACTAAAAATACAAAAATTAGCCCGGTATGGTGGCACGCGCCTGTAATCCCAGCTTCTTGGGAGGCTGAGGCAGGAGAATCGCTTGAACCTGGGAGGCGGATGTTTCAGTGAGCCGAGATCGCGCCACTGCACTCCAGCCTGGGCAACAGAAAAAGACTCTGTCTCAAAATAATAATAATAATAATAATAATAAATAAAATAAAATAAAATAAAATAAAAAATCCAAGATGCTCTACACCATGGATATTTTGCACCACTTCTACTATTGATGTATGGCCTTTACCTACATGGAATATCAGGACAATTAACAGTATGCTTACAGTAATTAATTGTTCTCTGATCATACCTCATAAAGCAATTGTATACTGACCATAAAGCAAACTTTACATAATAGAAGATAGCTGCATTTTTTTTTTCATGATAGCACAGAGTCTGTGTTGGTGACCAAAGCTAAGTCATGGCACGACAGACAAATGATTTCAAAGACTTTCACGTCAGTCAGTCTGCTCTGTGTCGAGTGACAGGAAAGCGTGTGTCAGCATCAACTGCCAAGTGTGATCCTCACATCAAATCCACAGGTTAACATTTCAGCTCTATGGATCTTAATCAGAAATTCTTCTTCAATTCTCACAGCCAGTTGACAGTAAATTCTAGTTTTATATGTTATTGTTTTTTATAGTTATTTTTCTGAAATGTCTCTTGATATTTAGTGAAAAGCATGGACTCATTTGATTATTTATTCTTGAGTCCTCAAAATCTATCATCATGCCATACATATACCAGAAACTCAAAATCTGGTAAGTAAATGAAGTTTGAAAAGATTGAATCATGGACTTCCAGGGAAAGAACACTTTAATCCAAATACATTTATTTGGTCTTTTTTTTTTTTTTCTTTTTGAGACAGGATCGTTATGTCACCCAAGCCGGAGAGCAGTGGCACAATCATAGCTCACTGCAGCCTCAAATTCCTGGACTCAGGTGATCCTCCCACCTAAGCCTCCTGAGTAGGAAGGACTACAGGAACATACCACCATGCCCAAATAATTTTTAAAAATTTTTTGTAGAGGTGGGGTCTTGCCATGTTGCCCAGGCTGGTCTTGAAATCCTGGCCTCAAGCCATCCTCCTGCCTCAGCCTCCGAAACTGAGAGATTACAGGCATGAGGCACCACACCCAGCCTATTTGTAATTTGTGGAAATCAACAGTAACTTTTTGCATTAACTAAAACATTTTAAAATTAAGTACAAAGTCCTATTACTATTATAGTCACAGTGATTGATGGAGTATAATGTTAAAGACACTATGAGAGGACTTTCCACTTCCTGTTAAAATATACAATGACAGCAAATGACTTGCACGGTAAAAATAAGAAAAATCCCAGAAGAAAAAATTTATACTTTTGATATTGGGCTATCAAACAGTGATACATACAAAGGGGCTTTGAGAAGCTAACTTTTAGACATCAATAAGCCTGTCACAGGAGAACATAATGCCAAAGTGGAGGGCCTAGGCAAAATATGAGCAGACAAAGGTGTAAGGTGGCTGTAGATAGAAAGATACTGCAGGGAGCAGGAGAAATCAGCTAATTCTTATACAATGCTGTGAATTAAGAAGATGATTTTAACTGTACAAGCCCCAGATGCAAGGAGACACCACTTCATCAAATAATTTTCCCTGAATTTTACTAAGAAAGAGGCACTGGTGAAGGGACTGAAAAGCAGAGAGAAACAGCAAAAGTTTACACATTCTCAGAGTGCATGGATTCCAGAGCTGATTGAATCCAAAGGTAAACCAAAATATTTAAAACAGCAATGTAATACCCTTGCAGCTCAAAGACTGACAAGATCAAAAAGGTAGTGAAGATCCAGAAGGTTCAGGTTTTGCATAATCACACATAAACTCAGTCTAAATAAAACTATTCCCCAGACCAGCCCAACCCTAGGAAAAATTTACAGGATCAGCCTCTCTCACGCTAATTGTTAGACAATAAAAAGAGCTTGCATGTTCTAGATAATACACATAACAAAACAAACGTGTGTGTGTCCATTGTCTAATATACAAGGTGTAAAATACGGTTAAAAATATATATATGAGGCAGGTATAAGTACAAAAAATGGTGGCCCATAAGAAACAAATTATATAATCAGTGGAAGCAGACCCGCAAGTGACTCAGTTGTCAGGATCAGAAAACAAGGATTTTAAAGGCACTATTATAAATATTTTTAAAAATTTACAAGAAATATGGCTATAATGTGTCACGAGATGAAATATTAATATATCAGAAAAACTTATAATCCACACAGAAAATTTAAAAACTAAAAAGTTCCACAATGGGAACCAAATATTTATTGGATAGACTGAACAACAAATTGAACAGGGCAGAAGGCAGGAACAGTGACCTCGAAGATATAATAAAAATTATACAGACTGAAACAAAGAGAGAAAAATTTAAAATATGAGTTGAATATTACTGACATAAAGAGTAATATTAAGTATTCTAGCATGCATATAATTCTAATCTCAGAAGAAGAAGAGAAAGGGGTAAAACAAATTTTGTAAAAATAATTGTTATAAATGATTTTTCTGTTAAACCATCAACTCCAAAAAACTCTATAATGCAAACTAGGGTAAAAAAAAAGATCAACTGAATACATATCATAATTGAATTGTGTAAACAAAAAAAGCAAAAAAAAAGGTCTTTGTGCCAGGGTGATGGGATCAATTGTGCCCAAATCTGACCATCATACAATATACCCAAGTAGCAAACCTGCATGTGTACCCCTGAATCTAAAATAAAAGTAGAAATTTTTTTCAAAAGGAAAATATATAAACAAAAAAAATCCTCAATACAACAAGAACAACAAAAAGTTCTTTGAAAAAGAGATACAATTTCAAAAGCTTTAACCAAATTGATAAAGGGAAAAAGTGAAAAAAATAAAAATTTTCATTATCAGGAATGAAAGAGAACACAGGATTTCAATATGGATACTAGAGTAATTATGAATACAGGACTATTATGAACTTTTTTTGCATCTTGACAATGTGGAGATGAAAATACTTTGAAAAACAAATTACCATTGACAATACTGATATAAGAAAATATAGAAAATCACAACAGATTATATCTCGTAAGAAAATTGAACTTGTAATTAAGAACCTGTACAAAAAGTGACTCTGGGAATTGATTGTCTCACTGTGGCTTCTACCAGCATTTAGAGACAAAATAACGCCTACTTGACACAATTTCTTGAAATTCAAACAACAGTAGAAGAGGAAACATTTCCAAATATGTTTTGTGTTGTCAGCCTAACCTAGTATATTACATTTGCATTGTTGCTATAACAAATTACCACAAATGCAGTAGCCTGGAACAACAGAAATTTATCTTACAATTACATAACTCCAAAAATCCAGCACTCATCTTATGAGGCTAATATCAAGGTGTGACAGGGTTTCATTCCTTTCTGTAGTCTCCAGGGGAAAATCCATTGTTTCACTATTCAGCTTATAAAAGTCACTCATAGTTTTTGGCCTCATGGCACCTATCCTCTGTTTTCAAAGCCAGTATTGGATAGTGAGACCCTGTCATAACATCTCTTTGGTCCTTCTCTCATAGTCACCTCTCCTTCTGACCACAGCCAATAAGGTTCTAGACTTTTCAGAAACACATGAGTATATTGACACCATCCGGATAATCCACAGTACTCTCTCTCTCTGTCTCAGGGTCTTTATTTTCATCATATTTGCAAAGTCCCTTTTCCATGTAAGGCAGGATATTTGCAGATTCTTTTTTGTGTGTGTGTGAGACGGAGTCTCGCTCTGTCGCCCAGGCTGGAGTGCAGTGGCGCTATCTCGGCTCACTGCAAGCTGCGCCTCCCGGGTTCATGCCATTCTCCTGCCTCAGCCTCCCGAGTAGCTGGGACTACAGGCGCCCGCCACCGTGCCCGGCTAATTTTTTTGTATTTTTAGTAGAGACGGGGTTTCACCATGTTAGCCAAGATGGTCTCGATCTCCTGACCTCGCGATCCACCCGCCTCGGCCGCCCAAAGTGCTGGGATTACAGGCGTGAGTCAACGCGCCTGGCCTGCAGATTCTGAATATAGACCTCTTTAGGGGACCTTATTCAACCTACTGTACCAAGTAAACAGAGTAAAACTCAAAAGACACTATAAGAAATGGAAATAAATGACCATTCTTTATAAACATAGACAGAAAATCCTGAACAAATTATTAGCAAATAGTACCGGTTATGTGCTATATTTGCTATTTCACCAGAAAGACTAGAAATTGAAAAAATGCATTGAATCAACACTTTTCATATGTCAGATAAAAGTAGAGAGGGATAGTTATTCCTGGGAGAAGGAAAACAAACAAGGAGAGCCCAGGATTTGTCCATTGAAACATTTTGAGGACCGTGCTGCAAGGAGGGAAACCTGAGTAGGGTTTAGTACGTTTGCTTGGTTGAGAAGATAGAGAGTTCAGGGAGAGAATAAAGCGACTAAAGTACGTGTGTCAGAGTCACAGAGAAAAGGGAGCAAAGAAAAATTCCAGCGTAGGGCTCCACTTACACGGCCTAAATACCAAGCTGCACATGTTACAGGGTGATGTTTTATGAGGCTTGACAAAAACAAGTCCCAGGTTTTCATTAGCTGAAGATGTCTCAGAGTACACACATGCTTCAGGGGCGTGGGAGTTCCAGCTAGCCAGAGTGGAGAACCTGTTTGAACACCTGAGGCCTTCTGTGAAGATTTCAGAAAGATCAAGGCTTAGTACAAGATCTAAAATTGCCCTAGAATAAAGACCTCTGTATATCTACCATAAAAAAAAGCTAAAAATCACATCTCAAAAAGTTTAAATTGGTCTGCAAATAATTTGCCTACTTTAAAGAAACAAAGATCCTTTAAAGTAATGTTTGATTGAATTTTATGCTCTGATGGAAATATTATTTTTCACTGTCTAAACATGAACATGTAGTTATTAAGCACTTAAAATGTCACTAGAGTCACTGAAAAATACAATTTTTAATTTAATTTAATTTTAAAAATATAAATTCAAATTTTAATGTTCAGTAATCAAATGTGGCTTATGGTTACCAAAATAAACTTTGTAGCTTTAAAGAAAGAGAATAAATTTCAGAAGCTCAAAAGATGCAGCATCTAATAATTAATCACATGTAAAATGCCACAAAATAGGAATCATAGTAAGAAGAGAAACTCATCAATAGAAAACCATAGAAATGACAGAGATCATAAAATAAAGGTAACTGTAAAATAATGAGGAAAGAATTGGAAGATATTTTTAAAATAGTATTTTTTCTTGACTTACTTGGTTTGTTCTGTATGCCAGTCAATGAGTCAATAATCATTGGTCCCTGTGTATTATTACAGTTACAGGATGTGTGGATCATTTGCTTTCTTTTGTACCTGGCAAATTACTTTCCATTTCTGAAACTTTGTAAGCCTAGTCCCACATGCTATTCAGAGAAAGTGTCAAGTATTAGTTATCGCTTTCACACATTAGCTCTTTCTGTTTTTAACTTTGAACGGTGTATTATTTGTTTGTTATTCTGAAACCATAGTTTCCTTCTCAGAAAATTTGAAGCCAGAACTTCTCAATATATTATCTATCCTGAGGCAAGTCTTCTTCTTGATAAATGGTTTATAAATTTAAAGAAATTAATTCCATAAAGGAGCTTTATGTTGTTCTTATTATAATTTTACATCCCAAGCAAATAGCACCAAATACATTTTAAACAGTTGGATGTTTTATTCTTCATGATTGGATCATTTGACCATAAACATTAAGTACTACCTTGACGTAAAAGAAAAAAAATACTTTTGAAAACCGAATTAAGCAATTAAAATTAAAAAATTCTAAAGATACTGCTCTTACATTTTTAAGATTATGTTTCAGCTATCATGCCTGTGACCGTTTTTATTCATCTGATATTAATTATGCTGAAAATTTTATTGTTATTATTTTTCTAAAACCTCTAATCATCTAGTGTTGTATTTGGGAGAAAATTCACCGTGAATGTGAAAATGCAACCATAGATATAGACATGACTAAAAACATCTTTTCAGGGCTAAGAGATTATGGACTATTTAAATTCCTTCTCCCTCTATGGACATATTTTAAGTCTCAAACATAAATAGTCACATCAGAAAAATATGACAACACAATTTGAAATATTATAGCACTTACATTGTGAAGGGCAAACTAATAATATTTTTAATGATATTCTTTATATTATGTGATGGTAAATTAGGTTGTGAAGTATTTTCTCAAGATAGTTTTATAATAATTCAAGAATCTTTAAAAATGACCATATTTTAAAAACAAATTATGCCTTAAGCTTATATTATCTTCAACATTTTTAAAGGCCAAGGTTTGGAAACCATTTCTAGTTCAAAAAATGCCAAAATGTGTGATCTATCTAAATATAGAGGCAATAAAATGATATAAATATATTTTATTTTATTCTTTTTGTAATATGGATGTGTGCCTTTTATGTATATTTTATGAAATAAATAATAGTACTTTAAACCTGTTAACTGTGTAGTAATGCAATACAAAAAAAGGAAAAGGAAAAAAAGGTACAAACAACCCATGAAACAATATTATCTATATATCTAGTTTTCATGATGCCAAGCATGAGAATATACTTTTTATCATTATGCCCATACCTCTTATGTGGTACATTTTCATAAAAGCAAAACAAATAAAGAATAAAGCCTCTTTGATATAGGCTTTTTGTCTTTTGTTTTATTGCGTTTCATTCATTAATCACAAGTGTATTAATTTTTTGACCATAACTACTATTTGCCACTCAGCTGACTTTGAACAGATAAGGACCATACAAGCATAGATCTCAGGCAAATTATAACTTACCATTTTGCTTGAATTAACATATTTTGAGTCATATAACCTGTGTGTTTTCACTCCCAGTTTCAGGAAGGTACCAGGATATGTTAAGCTGTCTCTCTACTCAGGGGAAGTTTGTCATGCAAAACTGAAATCAAACTCTGATCGCAAACAACCAATCATCCCATCTTGATTTTTCAAATTTTTCTTGAGTTCTATGATTGGATTATGGTGGGCGGGGGGGATTCTTTTCTCTTTAAGTCAGCCCTAAGGAAATTTCCCAGTATCTGGAAAGGGTGCATACAGGGAGTTTGGAGTCTGAGTCTGATTGCTTCCAGATGTAGCAAAATATTCTGTGCCCCACGTCAAACGGAAACAATGGAATTCTCAACTGTAGAGTGATTCTCAGATTGGGTAAAGCGCATTTCAGAAAAATGTGTGTTCAGATGGTCAGATACCATGTTGCTACGTGAAATCTCCGTGGCTATTATATGACCCTTACTGGTGTAGGGGTAAAGAGTCTAAAAAATGACTGAGATGCAATTTTTTGCTTGCTCAGCAGGATAGGGTCATACATTCAGATTGAACTTGATTTAAAGGGATAGCTGTGATATTTTTATGGAACCACGTTAGTGGAAGAAGAATCATGACCACCGCAGGTAGATTCTGGAAAGCACTAACAAATGAATTTGCCTGCAATCTAGGGCATTGTTCTTAGAGTAATTTATCAGTGATAAGAACATTCACCAAAAGAAAATCATACCAGACTAACTTCATGTCCTAGTGAACCTAATACCTTGTAATACATGTATTACTTTATAATGTCTCTCATGAGAGCCTTGAAAATCACATTCAAAAACACATGCTAGGATCTAGCAGCTAGATGATAAACCAATAACTGATTGAATAACCAGACCAAAACAGATAGTAGTCATCTATTGTAGTATTTGTAATGACATTCTTCACAGTTTTTGCCATGGCTTATACTCCATATTTTAGTAATGTCTTTCATAAACCTGTTGAGGCTACTTCATTTATTTTTTCATTCAGTTAGTCATTTCTTCAATAATATTTTAGTTCTTTAGTCCTTGCAATAATACTTCAGTTCTCGCAATATGCCAAACCCTTTGTACAGATAATAATATCCTATTCACATAATCAAGTCTTTAAAACACTTGTGGAAATAGATAGCTATCAGTGAGATCAATAACATAGTGCTATTGTTATTTATGCTAACAATTATTGGTGCTAAATTGGGGTATATAAATTGGAGTCCTAGCAAGAAATAAATAGCACACTTAAGGTTTAATCAAAATGATTTAATGAGGTGCTATTAACGTGATGTGAACAGATTTAAGGGAACCATTAAGGGATGGGAAAGTACCCAGGGATCATCAATAACGGACACTGCTTCCTGCATTCTGCCTGAAGGGAAAAAGGAAGCGCACTGTGAGCTTGAGCTACAGAAAGGCCACCTGGCCGGGCGCGGTGGCTCACGCCTGTAATCCCAGCACTTTGGGAGGCTGAGGCGGGTGGATCATCTGAGGTCAGGAGTTTGAGACCAGCCTGACCAACATGGAGAAACCCTGTCTCTACTAAAAATGCAAAATCAGCCAGGCGTGGTGGCGCATGCCTGTAATCCCAGCTACTCAGGAGGCTGAGGCAGGAGAATTGCTTGAACCCAGGAGGTGGAGGTTGCAATGAGCCAAGATCGCACCATTGCACTTCAGCCTGGGTAACAAGAGCAAAACTCTGTCTCAAAAAAAAAACAAAAAAAAAAGGAAGGGCCACAAACCCAAACTATAGCTATGAAGGAATGCAGCCACACGCAGAAGTGTTGGTAACAAGGAGAAAAGGAATAAATACCCTCATCTATCTTTTTGTTCCACCCTCCAGTCTTCTGATATTATCACACATTGGTTGAACCTAAGTGAAATGTAGAAGACAGTATAAAAGTGAGCCTCAGAAGTCAAACTTCAGAGCAACAAAACGGGTCTGGAAACAAAGAGAACAACCAGTATAGCTCATGGATTATATCACTCAGTATTTATGCCCTTAATTAGTTTCAACTAAAAAGTTGTGTACCCAATATAGAAAAGATAATGTGCCATCATATAATTAGAAAGTGACATCAATTCAATTTTGCTCATGCCTGGAACCTACATTTAATGTTCACCACCACCAAACTTGTTCTTACAATACACAGCAAGGATGAGAGAGATGAGAATGAATCTGGAGACTGAAAGGAGAATAACCAGCACATGTGGCACATTCAAAATACCAAGGAGGAAGCCATCAAATGAGAGGGGGAAGAGAGTGCAGAAAGGGCTTACAGAAGGGGAAATCTTCAACCAACACCAGGAAGATGAAGTGGAGTTCACAATGACAAACGATGAAAGTTGATGCAAAATCAAGAAAGTCTGAGATAACAGGGTGCTTAGAGCCATCATAGTGTATGAGGAATTAGAAGTATATTGTGAAAGAGTAAACATTTGCTCAGACTCAGAAAATAAAGTTCTGCCCAGCCGTGTATCAAGCCAGGATACCTGACAAACACAAACCCGTGGCAAAATTGATAGGAAACAATGTTCCTCCCAAATACACACTACAGTTGTCAGTTGTAAAGTGTCATAATTCCTTCTTTGAGTGATAATTTCTTGTTTGGTTACCGAATAGCTTTGTTATCTAAAATTGTGGACTATCAGAAACTGTGGAGGACTAGAGGATCTAACATGCTTTGACACAGAGAAGCTGCCTTGATCGTCAACCCAGATACACAGCTTTCGATAAGGGATTCCTGCACACAATATTCCACATCTATCTTAATTTTGTGGTAGTTTTCAAGGAAATAGGGTCCTAAGTTCACTTTGCAGTCTAGATCTGGTGTTTACTCTTTTAGAGAGACCTACTTTGCACTGAGCCTAGTGAAACAATGTTTTATTTAAGGACCAAAACCAAAAGCACTGCTTTATTTAAATTTCATCACTTTTTCAAATTCTCTTAAAACTATATTTTCCTTTGCTTTATAAGAAACCCCTTTGCACGGCCGGGCATGGTGGCTCATGCCTGTAATCTCAGCACTTTGGGACGTCAAAGCAGACGGATCACATGAGGTTGGGAGTTTGAGACCAGCCTGGCGAACATGTCGAAACCCCATCTCTACTAAAAATACAAAATCAGCCAGGAGTGGTGGTGCATGCCTGTAATCCCAGCTACTCAGGAGGCTGAGGTAGGAGAATCACTTGAACCTGGGAGGCAGAGGTTGCGGTGAGCCGAGATCACGCCATTGCACTCCAGCCCAGGCAAAAAGAGCGAAACTCTGTCTCAAAAAAAAGAAAGAGAAGAAACCCTTTTGCATTACATTAATTTTGTTGGTGTACAAGTTTCTCCCTAATTAGGCAAGGAAAGTTAGTTGAGAAGACCAAAAACAAACCAACAAACAAAATAATATAATTCAATGAAATAAAATTCTATTTTGCGTTCTGTCTTCTGAAACTTGAAGTCTCTTCAAAATTCTTCCTTGTTTCCTCAATCCATTAAATGTTCCCTCATTGTTTTCCCAGTGGAATCTTCTTACAAGTCTACTACATGACGTACGACATTGTTTCTTCTTTTTTCATGGTTTTATACCACATGAGGTTCTATCTCCTCAATTTAGTGTGAGTCAAAGTTTGTAATTGTTTCTTTCTTATCTATAACATGCCTCCCTCAGTGACAGATACAAAATACTATCATGAATATTCACAGAATGAGTGGATTTTGCAAGGAGAATGGGGCTACACTGATGAGATACATTTACCATTTCAATAAATCCATCACATCAACTATACCAATATACAATGAAGTATCAGTACCGAAAAGCAAAATCATTTGGAATTTCTTTGCCTAAAAACCAAAAATAAGTTAATAATAATGTGATATGACTTCCAAGAAAATAAAACAAATGACAACAACTTTTAAAAACAAAATAAATGAATAACAGTCCTATCTTAGATTGTCTTAACCAAAGTATAAATTCCAGAATAAATGATACAACAAATACAACATTCTTTATCTTATAAGGAAAACAATATTTTCAGTGAAATATGCTTCAAAGAGGAATAACTGAAATTGGCACAAAGTGACCAAGTATAGAAAAGGTTTTAAAGTTATGATCTGGCTGGGCATGGTGGCATGCACCTATAGACCCAGCTATGTGGAAGGCTGAGGCAGGAGGACCACTAGAGCCCAGGAGTTTGAGACCAGCCTCGGCAACATTGTCAGACCCTGTCTCTAAACATAAACAAACAAAAAACAACAAAAAATACTATAATCAGAGCAGTTGAAAAAGATATCTTCGTGTGTTTGGAGAGAAAGCCCAAGAGAACATATTTCTAATGAAAGATTTAAAAAGTTATCATATCAAATAAATGCTAGGTTTGCTGTGTATTTTTTTTGGAGTTTGAAAATTATTCTAGTAGACAGAAGCTAAAAAGAGGAAAGCTGTAGCTCACCATACAGAATAACATTGCAATGATTTGAGCCATCTGCAAATAGAAAAGATGACCTTCAGGGATGAAAAGATTTCATGCTTAGCCAGATTAAAAACATTCTGAGCGGAAGGTCACACACTGGAATGAAAAATGACCTGGACAACCACCTTGATTCCTTTCAGCATTTCAGGGTAATGGGGTAGGCTGTCTGTTGATTTTCTTGTGGGCATTAATTTTCTAGTTAGCTTTATTTTGACCTGGGGACAACTCCAAAAGATGTGACATATTTAACACATTTTCTTTTTACAGAACTGTTGAAATATGGATACTCAGGAAATTGCTAGAGTAATAATTTGAGGCTATTTCCCAATAAAGATTGACCTATGCATATTCAATTCACTTCTCAAAGAAAAATGCCCAATACTCCAATTTCTTACAGATAGATTAGTATTACTGTGAGGGCAGAATAATCAATTCCTTTTATAAATGAGATCTTGAATTAAATTAGATGATTACCACTTATTAGTAAAATACAACAGATTAAACTGAGCCTGTTTCCACAGAAACTGCAAGTTTATGACAATTTACAATTCAGATTTTATTTATTAGTACAGGGCTTTTCAAAATTTACTACTAAAAAAGTCACCTGGAAAGTTTATTAAAATTCACCTCTGGGTTTCAGCCTCATGAATTCTAACACTGTAGTCTGTGGCACTTGAGACAGAGCCCAGGAATCAGTACAAAACAGGAATCTCAGACGAATCTGCAGCATGCTGTTTTTTGAAAAACAATAATCCAGAAAACATCACTCAACAAGAAGACAGAAACAAAGCCAAAACCTTCAGATGAGCTATAAACTACAAGTGGAAATAGTTGCTAATGACAAATTTCTGAGCTTTTCTGATCTATTAATGAAAAAATATCATGCTGCTAACAGGACAAAACACTCATTTTTTACTTGTTCTGTATAAGAAATCTAGACTCAAAAGCATATACTGACAAAAAGAGCTGTTAATAAATATAATCATTACTTCAAAACATAGTATCTGTTTCATGTCTCTTTAAAAAAAAAAATACTGGCTTTTCAAATCAAACCAATTGTCTTGCCTACAGAATCTGTTTCAAATATTTCTGATGTTAAGAAAAAAAAGTTCAATTTCTAGCTTATGTTCCCAAAACAGTTTTTATTTCAATTTGAATCTGAACAACAACAAAAAACTTTCTGAAAATATCATCCCTCTGATGGCTTATTTTATTTCACTTGAAAATGTTTGTGCTGATTTAGATAATTCTGATGTTTCTTAAAAGAAATTGGATTTGAGCATTAGATGAAAACTGTGAGTAGGTGTATTACACAAGGAATTAACTGAAAGAAATAAAAGTCTCATATTGGGAGCTGGCATTATCAGCCAGAATTGAAAACCAATCCTTTGAACGTTGCCAAAAAGCCACTTCATCTTGATAATACTTCAAATTTAGTTGTTAAGAGTCAGAAAGCAACAAAGTAATGAGGACATACTAAAAGAAGGTCACTGACATTTCACCACCTGTTCATTTGCTTTACAAATTTGAAACGAAATGGGCCATTTTTAATTAAAGGATTACCTTGATTCTAGAATCAACACTTCTCTCATTACTTCAGAAACTGTCTTGGACATCAGTGTTTGTGTGCATGCATGCACGTAGAACACATCTATTGCCTTTTTTTTTCCTGTGAAATTTAATTAACTAAATTTAAATTACTTTAGTATCAAGTTAGTCTTTGGGAAAATTATAGTTTGGGATCTGCAATCACTCTGTTTCTTCCCTTGACAAATGAGCCTGATACCCTTATGCTTGATTCTCTTTCTTCTAAGTACGAAGATAATTTCTTGTTTGACAGTAGGCAGGCTTGTGTGAATGCCCAAATATTCATTAGGCAGGTCATCTAATTTCTTGTGTTTAGATCCCCTTGTCCTTTTCTTTAGTCTCTGTCATCACCTCCTGGGATCTTATCTCCTACCCACTCCCTAATGTTCCAGTAGAAGCAGCCATACTGTGAATAAAACCCTATTACCTGGGCAGAAGTGATGGGGCTAGGGAGGGGCACTTAAATAAAACATCTACCAAAATTCAAGGTTTGTTTATGAAATACTAGGCTTTATGTGTCTGCTCTCTTCAACCCTGTTGTAAACATTAGAGCTGTATGTTGAAGCTCCTTTATACCATTTGGACTGAGAGACATAGGAAACAAGCATCGTACCATTAAACAAATTCTCTCCAGAGTTAGAGTTGGAGCTAAGGAGAATGAAGAAATGAAGGGACAGGAAAGAACTGACTTAAACAGCACCAAAGCAATCCAGCATTGATTTCCTTTGGCAGTAGCATATGTTTGAAATTGACCCGTTTTGTTGAGGGATCTTCTATGAATTCTTCAGTGGCCCCATTGACATGATGCCCATGATGGAGGCAGTGCTTCTGTGTGACTGGTTTCTAATGCACCTCTGCTTTCTGCATCCAAAGGTATACCTCCATCATGTATTGCTCAGGTAACTTCTCCACTGACAAGGGCTTTGAATGAAAATTACTTTCAAAGCTGCCCAGTGATGACATTACTGCCATGGCTTGTATATTTGTTCTTAGAGAACTCTTGAATATTTGACTACATGTATTGGTAGAATTGCAGGCTTTTAATATAAACAGCTTCTGGTACTAGCAATTCCTTTCTAATTTGTTTTCATAGAGGATTCTTACAACAGTTCATTTGTCCCCCAAATCCAGAGGGCACATATTATATTCCCTGAAAGGTTTCTTTGAACCCTTTCTCACTAGTGTTGGGCTAGAAGACAAGCAACTCTCTAAACAGTCCTCTAATCTTCCACCACCATTTTTAGATATCTGCAACATTCTTCTGCAACAAGCTGTAGATATGTTATAGGCTTCAGGTAAGTGGCTAACTCAGAGAAACAAAACTAATCCTTAGTGACTGCTATATTCATTTCCTATGGTTCCTTTCCCAAATTACCTTCTAGAGGTTTCCCGTATTCCTTGACTCATAGTCCCCTTCCATTGGCAAAGCTGGCAATGGCCGGTTGAGTCTTTTACACATTGCATTACTTTAACACTGACTCACCTGCCTTTTGCTGCCACTTTTAAGGATCCTTGTGGTTGCATTGTGTCCACATGGATAATCCAGGGTAATATACCTATCTTAAAGTTAGCAGATAAGAAATATTAATTCCATCTGCAATCGTAATTCCTCTTGCTATGTAACATAATGTATTTGCAGGTTCTAGGTATTAGGATGTGAATACCTTTGGGGTGTGCCGTTATTCTGTCCACCACACCTTTCTTAGCAAATTCATTCAAACTTATTCTGGAATATGAAACCTGTTAGAAACTATTATCTCAGCGCTTAGGCTAAAACTGAGGCTAGAATAATCTCATTTTACGTCTTATTAAGGTACTTACATACACAATCACATAGAATTTATGAGTACTAAAATATAGTTCTGGTATTAACTCTATTTCGTCCTCACAAAGGAGTTGGTGGAATAATCAACTATTGGGGGCAGGTCCTTTCTGCCACATCTTCTTTGACCTTTTAACAGTTTTGTTTCATCTTCCAATCCCTCTTTGATATGGTTCACCAGGGTGTGTTTCACCATGATTTATGCTGAAATTAACTGCAGATTAGCCTCAGTGTCTCTGTTTCCGTGCTAAAATTTAAAATTATTCATTAACTGATTTCTTCTACTTTACTAATTCTTTTTTCCTTTAGAAATGTAAAGTGCCATGCTGAAACATAACAGAAAACATGTCTCCTCCATGTTCATTCCACAATAAAATTGCTGCTAATGCCTGGCACAGCTTTCTCTCCATGCCTCTATATTTGAATTCGGGAGAATACACAGCAGAGACTCATGCGCCACCTTGGCTTTGGGACCAAAAAGGCACACATGGTTACTTAAGCCATTTTTATGATGTTATTTGTTTATTTGTCTTCTAACCAAGTAACATCTGTTTAGAAGCGTTCCATGTAAAAATACTGGTCTAACCCTCAATTGAAGTTAACCTTTTCCAGTTTGCAGTTCTTCATTGCCCTGTTGGATTTTGTGGAATAAACTAGAGAGGTGATATTCTAATGCTGATCAGCTGCCACAACTTGGATATTGATGGGTCACAAAGTTAAAGATGACTTATAAACATCTGGTACCCCCACACCCACCTGTACCAGCTCAACATTAGCCCCTATGACCTGCATTTTTGGCCACCTTTACTAAAAAGAAGTGAGCAGGACTGGCAGGGCTCAGTAATAAACTATGCTTAAATAAACTTTGCAAATTATTCAATCTGAGGTTTTTGTTTTTACATTTTTAGAGTCATTCCTACCTTAGAAAAAAGTTGGTTCAATTTAGCATTTATTGTGTAGAGCAGTGGTCAAAGAGCTGTAGGAATTTAAAAAACCAAAAACAAAACAAACAAAAAAACGAGGGAGTCATTCTTTTATCCTCAGGCAGTTTATACTATAATGAGGCAGACAAACAACTTCAATAGCAACTAGAATGGAATAAACAATAAGGCTGTGCAAAGAAAACTTGACACTTTTGGTAATGGTGGTTCCGGTATATTGCATAATCAAAATTAATCATGACATCACCTATTTCACCATTAAAATTGACCAACTATTCATAGTTTCTTTGACTGTGTAAGAGGGGAAATATAACACAAATATATGATAAAGCAAACTGTAGCTTTTGGATTTCTAAGCCTTTGTGAATCATGCATATTTTGTGAAGATAAATATTCTAGGACATCGAAGTACACTGTTGAGAGATTTCAATAAAATAGAATATATTAGACTACTTAAAATTTAAACTGTTGTGTCAGGAAACTTTGAATAGGCATTTACTCCAAAGTATACCTACCTGTGAAGCCTGATGCAATGAAATTTAGGTATGTGTGCAGGAAGCCTAATTAGAGTTAATGAAGCCTGATTTCAATTACACGCTAGCATTCTTTAAGAATTTAAATTTTTTACCTTTCCAGTTCTGCAAGTTTTGCACATTTTGTCTCTGCTTTCTTTTTATTCAAGTTTTGCACATTTTGTCTCTGCTTTCTTTTTATTCAAGTTTTGCACATTTTGTCTCTGTTTTGTTATTTATTTCTGTTTGTGTGATTTTAAACACATAATCTGTTAGAATTTAAGTATAATAGGCAAGATCACTTTTTAAATTTAATGTTATCATGTCTAAGTTATGCAGAAAACTGAACTTGTCTACAAATTAATTTTTGTTTCTTATAATTGAGATTTTTTTTTTCTTTGAGACGGAGTCTCACTGTGTCACCCAGGCTGGAGTGCAGTGGCGCGATCTCGGCTCACTGCAAGCTCCACCTCCCGGGTTCACGCCATTCTCCTGCCTCAGCCTCCCGAGTAGCTGGGACTACAAGCTCCCGCCACCACTCCCGGCTAAGTTTTTGTATTTTTAGTACAGACAGGGTTTCACCGTGGTCTTGATCTCCTGACCTCGTGATCCACCCGCCTCCACCTCCCAAAGTGCTGGGATTACAGGTGTGAGCCACCGCGCCCGGCCGAGATATTATTTTTAATCAGTGGAAGATGTGCCATTCAATTTTTTACCCAAATTAATAGTAGTTACTATTTACAAAAGATGTAAGACTGAATTTATTCTACTTCCTGTTTCACAGGGAATCTGGAGCATGGAAGTTCTATAAATATTCAAGAATAAAATTCATCTCCTAAAATATTCTCAAGTATGAGTTTCTGAACTAATACAGGTACTACCTTTCATTCATCTTTCAAAGGCAAATCCAGTTCTATTTTTGTGGCCCAGGATATTGGTTAGAAATAGGTTTGGCTAGGAGTGACTGAAAATAAAAGTGGCTTATATAAGACATAAACATAGTTATCACTCTTATAAGAGTCAGAGTAGGCAAATTAGGCTGGATTGGTTCTTGATGATTTCAGCAGCCCAGGATCCTAGTAAATCATCATACTCTGCCAGGCCTGGATGTCACGCTCCAAGATGGTGGAGTGCGTAGACCAGGAAAATGTATAAAGAAAGGAAAATAGGCTGGGCGCGGTGGCTCATGCCTGTAATCTCAGCAGTTTGGCAGCCCGAGGCGGGTGGATTACGAGGTCAAGAGATCAAGAGCATCCTGGCCAACATGGTGAAACCCCGTCTCTACTAAAACTACAAAAATTAACTGGGTGTGGTGGCGGGCACCTGTAATCCCAGCTACTCGGGAGACTGAGGCAGGAGAATCACTTGAACCCGGGAGCCGGAGGTTGCAGTGAGCTGAGATTGCGCCACTGCACTCCAGCCTGGCAACAGAGTGAGACTCCATCTCAAAAAAAAAAAAAGAAAAAGAAAAAGAAAAAAGAAAAAAGAAAAAGAAAGGAAAGTAGAAAAAGTTTTACTTTCTTGCAGCAACACAAGCTAGGGAAACTTGTCTTTATTCACTTTCCTATGTATTTTTAATGTATTAGAACAACTGTTACTCTAGTGTGACAATTATAGAATTTACTAGTTTTTTACTATTTATTCTTACTTTTTTTACTATATTACTACTACTTTTATACTATACAAATATGTAGTATATAAATATACTAAATATATAAGTATATAGTATATAAATATACTAAATATATAAGTATATAGTATATAAATATACTAAATATATAAATATATAGTATACAAATATACTAAATATATAAATATATAGTATACAAATATACTAAATATATAGTATACAAATATACTAAATATATAAATATATAGTATACAAATATTCTAAATATATAAATATATAGTATACAAATATACTAAATATATAAATATATAGTATACAAATATACTAACTATATAAATATATAGTATACAAATACACTAAATATATAAATATATAGTCTATAAATATACTATATTTACTATATTTTTTACTATATTTACTAATTTACTATATTTACTACTATTTTTTACTATATTTTTACTATTACTTAACTCAGTCATACAACAGGTATTTATTAACTTACTATTAAATTGTATTAAGGAAAAAAATCATAAGAAAACATGATCCCTGCCAGAAGAAAGGGTAAGATATTGGTGGCAATGATTGTAAAATATGCCATTCTGATAGGTGTGTACTATATCATTTCAATTTATGTTTACCTGATTGCTAATGATGTTGAAGATATTTTCATGTGCTTATTTTCCATTTGTATATCTTCTTGAATAATCTCTTCATGTCTTTACCTATTTATTAAAGATAGTTTGTTTTGCCCTGTTGAATTTTTCGAGTTCTTTCTATTTTATAGATAGTACTATTTTGTTGGATATGTGGTTTGCAAGTATCTTTCCAATCTGTATCTTGTACTTTCATTCTCCTTATAAGAGCTGTCTTAGTGTGTTCAGACTGCTATAACAAAAATACTATGGAATTGGTGGCTTATAAACAGCAGAAGTTTATTTCTTACAGTTTTAGAGGCTGGGAAATCCAAGATCAAGGTACTGGAAGGTTCAGTGTCTGTGGAGGACCCACTTTCTGGTTTATATATAGCCATCTTATTGCTGCATCCTCTCATAGTGGAAGAAGTGAATTTGCTTTCCACTTGAGGTAGAATATCCATCTTCCCTTACCCTCAGACATCGGGTGTTACATGTTCTCAGACCTTCAGATTTGAACTGGAGCTTATACTGTTAGTTCCCATGGTGCACAGGCCTTCGGGATTGGACCAGAACCAGCACACCACCAGCTTTCTTGGGCTTGCAGCTTGCACGTGGCAGACTGGAAGATTATGGAACTTCTTAGCTGCCATAATTGTGTGGGTCAATCACTCATATATATATATGTGTGTGTACACAGACACACACACAATTGGTTCTGTTTCTCCAGATAATGCTATTATACAGGCTTTCACCAGGCCAAAAGGTTTTTAATTTTGATGAGGTATAATTTAACATGTTTTAATGTATAATGCTGTCAGTGTCAAGTCTAAAACCTCTTTACCGAGCCCTACATCACTAATATTTTCCCCTATGTTTTTTAAAAAGTATTGTAATTTTAAGTTTTATATTTAAGTCTGTGACCCATTTGAGTTAAATTTTATATAAGGTATAAGTTTTATGTCAAGTGTCATCATTTTGACGTTTGTCCAATTGCTTGACTTTATTTGTTGAAAAGGTTATGTTTTCCGTTTTCTCCATTGAATGGCTTCTGTATCTTTGTCAAAAATTAGTTAACTTTGTTTCTTTGCTTCTGTGTGTTTTTGCTGTTTTGTTGTTGTTGTTGTTTTAGATGGAATTTCACTCTTGTTGCCCAGGCTGGAGTTCAATGGTGTGACCTCGGCTCACCACAACCTCGGCCTCCCAGCTTCAAGCAATTCTCCTGCCTCAGCCTCCCGAGTAGCTGGGATGACAGGCATGAGCCATCGTGCCCAGCTAATTTTGTATTTTTACTAGAGATGGGGTTTCTCCATGTTGGTAAGCCTGGTCCTGAACTCCCTACCTCAGGTGATCCACCTGCCTCGGCCTCCCAAAGTGCTTGGATTACAGGCATGAGCCACCGCGCCCAGCTGCTTCTGTGTTCTCTGTTGCATTCATTGATTTATGTGACTACCTTTCTACCAATATCACACTATCTTGATTGCTGTAGCTCTAAAGTAAACCTTGATATCAGTTGGATTGGTTTCTCCCAACTAATTCTTCTTTATTAATATTATTTTACCTATTCTAAGGATAGTGCCTTTCTATATAAATTTTAGAATAATCATGTTTATGTCAACAAAATTCCTTGCTGGAATTTGTATGTCAATTGCATTAAACCTACAGATCAATTTGTGGACAATAGACTTTACTATATTTTGTATTATAATCTATGAAAACAGAATTCTCTCCAGTTTATTTAGGTTTCTGTTATTTCTTTAATTAGCATTTGGTAATTTCAGCATATAGATCCTGTACATGGTTTATTAAATGTAGACTAAATACTTGATTCCTTAGGATATTCTTTATGAAACTGAGAAAAATTCTCCTTATTCCTAACTTTCTGCTGTTTTTTTATGAATGGGTATTGGATATTGTCAAATAATTTTTGTGAATCATTTTTTATGATCACATGATTTTTCATCTTTACCTTGTTCATATGTTGTATTACACTGATTTTCAACGATTGAACCAGCCTTGAATGCCAGAAATAAATATCACTTGGTAATGGTCTATTGATATATAGTTTTTTTATACACTATTGGATTCAGTTTACTCATAATTTTTGCAGATATTTTATTTCTTCAATTTTTTCTTTTAGTTTTTTTAATTTTTGAGTTTTGTTTACATATGAGGTCCTGTGTGATACTAGTCTGTAGTTTATTTTATGTGTGTATTATCTTTGCTTAATTTTTGTATCTGGGTCCCCCCAAGTAAGTTTGGATGTGTCCCCTCCTATTCTATTTTCTTGAAGAGCTTGTGTAAGATTAGTGCTCATCTTTATTTAAATAATTGATAGAAATTTTCAGCGAAACCATATGGCTTTCAGATTTCTTTTTCAGAAGATTTTAAATCTCAAAGTAATTGGTTTTAGTTTTTATAGGATTATTCAGATAGAGATCATTGTATATAGGAGTTAGTGGTTCACAGATTTCATCAATATCTTCTAAGTTGTCCAATTTATAAAACTAAATGTGTTCATAGTGTCCCATTAGTATTCATTATTATTCTTTTAGCAGGTATCTCCCATTTCACTCCTGATATTGATGATTTGTGTTTTAGATCCTTTTATCTCTGTAAGAGTTTTATCATTTTTATTGATTTTTTCAAAGAACCAGCTTTTTGTTTTATTGATTTTCTCTGTGTATGCTGTTTTCAGCTTAATTCATTTCTACTCTTATATTTACTATTCCCTTCTTTTGTTGTTTGAGTTTATCGTGTTCTTTTTGTGTGGCTTATTGATAAAAAAAATTAACTGATTTGGGACATCTTGTCTTTTCTAATGTGAGCATTCAGTGATATGAATTTTCTTCTCAGTTATGATTTTGTTATGTTGTAGTTATGATTCCATTGTTTTATGTTTTTTATTGTCTTAGAGACATTGTATTTAACCCATAGTCATTTAAAAGTGAGCTATGTAGTTTTCACGTGTTTAGAAGTTCCTTTTATTAATTTCTAGTTTGATTCCACCATGATCACAAATACACTCTGTATAATTTCTTTTTTTATAATTTTATATTATAAATGAGGTTGGTGTTATGATTTACAATATAATTTATCTTTGTTCCATTGATGATTTTAAAAACACACATGCTGCTGTTGTTGGATAGGATGGTCTACATATGCCAATTAGCTCTTATTGATTTATTGTGTTGTTTGGCTATCTTATGCTCTTAGTGATTTTATTTAAGTAATTCTGTTAGTGGGGGCTGGGCGCGGTGGCTCATGCCTGTAATCCCAGCACTTTGGGAGGCCGAGGAGGGTGGATCACCTGAGATCAGAAGTTCAAGACCAGCCTGGTCAACATGGTCAAACTCCGTCTCTACTAAATATACAAAAATTAGCTGGACGTGGTGGCGGGTGCCTATAATCCCAGCTACATGGGAGACTGAGGCAGGTGAATCACTTGAACCCGGAAGGCAGAGTTTGCAGTGGTCCGAGATCACCCCATTGTGCTCCAGCCTGGGCAACAACAGTGAAACTTCATCTAAAAAAAAAAAGGAATTCTGTTAGTTTCTGAGAGGGAGGTGTTCAAGTTTCTAAGTATATTTGTGGATTAGTTTATTTCTCCATTAAGATCTACCTAAATTAACGCGATTAATTTAGGTGGTCTGTTGTTTGCTGCATACACATTTAGGATCTTACGTTTCTCTGGTGTATTGATCCTTATAGTTATGTAATATCCCCCTTTTTCTTTTTTTTTTTTTTTTTTGTTCTTTTTTGAGACGGAATTTAGTTCTTGTTGCCCAGGTTGGAGTTCAGTGGCATGATCTCGGCTCACCACAACCTCCGCCTCCCAGGTTCAAGCAATTCTCCTGCCTCACCCTCCCGAGTAGCTGGGATTACAGGCATGTGCCACCACGCCCGACTAATTTTGTATTTTTAGTAGAGACAGCGTGTTTCTCCATGTTGGTCAGGCTGGTCTCGAACTCCCGACCTCAGGTGATCCACCTGCCTCAGCCTCCCAAAGTGCTGGGATTACAGACGTGAGCCACCCTACCCGGCCAATATCCCCCTTTTTCTTAGTTACTTTCTTTTCTGTGAAGCCTAATTTATCAGATGTAGCACATCTACTCTGTTTAAATTAATATTTACATGGTTTACCTTTCCCATCCTTTTACTTTCCACTTACCTACATAGTTGAATTTAATGTGAGACTTTTGCAAATAGCTTATAGCCAGGTCATTGTCTTATTTACAAACTGTCAAATTTCTGTTTTTGGTTGATGTATTAAGTACATTTACATTTTTAAAAAATATTTATGTTAACACACACATCTGTCAATTTATTTTTTGTGTGTGTATTTGATTTTTTGGAAAGCTTTTACATATTTTTTCAAACTAAATCACTCTTTTGTTTATATATTTGCTTTTTCTAATCATTGTTCCTATGTGTTTCCCTTTTCTTGCCTTCCTAATGGGTTATTTAAACATTTTTCAGGATTCAATCCTGATTTATTATTAATGTTTTGATTATATCTCTTTGGTTTATCTTGGTATTATAATATGCTTATGTGACTTATCACAGTCTTATGTTAAAAACATTTTACTACATGAGGGTGGTATGAAAATACCATTTCTATTTAGGTGCATTTTTCTTTTCCTCTATTTAAAATCATTATCTTGAGTATCAAATAGTATTATAACTTTTGTTTCAATCATCAAATATAATTTATAAAACTGGCTAGATAAAGAGTGATATGTTGTATCATGTATTACACTTATTTCTTATCCTTATTTTGTTTCTTCTTTTCTGGTACTCCAATATTCCTTTTATCATTTACTTTCTGTTTGAAGAACACTTGAAAAGGGCCCAATAGTACCACAGACAGTTGTTTTTGAATAAACATAGAGATAGATGCTTCTGTTGAAGCTTGAAACTTCAATTTGTTTTATCTGAGTTCCTTCCTCACAAAAGGATCTTCAGGTCACTCAAAAAAAGTATCAAGGAACTGAAACTTACCAGATCATGGCACCGGATGCCTCCTTGCCCTTCCCTAGTTCGTGTTTTCTTGCACACTGTTACATTTCTTCCCTGCTATATAATCCCCTAGTTTTAGTTGGTCATGGAGATAGATTTGAGATTGAGTTCCCATCTCCTCAGCTGCAGCGGCCAATTAAAGCCTTCTTCCTTGGCAATACTTGTCGTCTCAGTGATTGGCTTTCTACGAAGCAAGTCACACAACCTGGACCGAAGCCCTGGTGTTTTGGTAACATTCTCCCTAGCCAATCTTCAAGGGTAGTTCTGCTAGCGATATATATAATATATATAGAGAGAGTTTTCCTTTAATCTACATGCATGTGTTTAAATACATGTATTTGAATCATTTAATTTTTAAATAAACTTTTTATTTTGGAATAATCTTAGGTTGACAGAAAAATTGCAAAGGGAGTATGAGGAGAAGATTTTATTTTCCCTTTATTCCTGAAGAGTAATTTTACTGAATGTAAAATTTCCAGTTGAGAGTTATCTTCTCTCAGCACTTAAAAAATCCTGAACCATTTCCTTGTTACCATAATGGTTTCAGATATGAAAATTTCACTAATTCAAATTGGTGTTCTCTGTATGTAATTTGTCTTATCTTTCAGCCACTTTCATGATTTTCTTTAATCTTCAGTTTTCATAAGTTTAATTAAGATATGTCTTGGTAAGCATCTCTTTGGGTTTAACCTATTTGGGAACACCTAGCTTTTTGGATCTATGAATTTAAGTCTGTCACAAAGTTGGAAAACTTTCAGCCATTATTTCTTTAATTACTCTCTATCTCCCTTACTTTTGGGACTTCAATAATAGCAATGTTAAACATTTCGCTATTATCCAGCAGATGCCTGAAGCTCTTTTCTCTCCCTTTTATTGTTTGTTTAAAACTTAACGTACTTAAAATAAATCTCCATATATTTTTACTACATAATCTGGATCATTAGCAAATATTTTCAAATATTTTGGAATTGCTGTTAATCTCTGTAAAGGACTGTTGGTAAGTTAGCTGTTGTCAGTCCTTCTGAAGTCAGTCTCTACCCTTTATCTGTAAGGGTGAAATATATCAATCTTATTCATATTAATGCAGTAATAAATAAACAAAGGCATTACCTTTCAGAAGCATACAAAGCTTTTGTGTTCGTATCTTGTTACGAATTTTTCTCCCTAATAAATGTTAATAATTATATAAAACCACTTTTTAATACAATATTCATGCATTTAAAATTTCTAGATGACATCCAAGAGCATAATCAGATTAAGCTTACCATCTTAGATTTTTACATAGTTGTTTGATTAGCAGAGGAAATAATTCCAAGAGGATCATTGTTCTTTCCACTGTTGTTATGTTTGGGCAGAACATGAAATAGAGATTTTAATATAGAAAACATCCAGTATCTTGCTTAACTTTTGGTTTTGAAAAATAAATCAAATTTCACACATTTCAATATGAAAGACATGCTTATTCTCAAAACAATTGTTCCACTCTCTGTGAGGTTTATATCATGTGTAGTGATGCCTTAAAAATTATTTGAATTCAACCTTGTTTATTAAGGATGATTACATCAAGTGCCAAGTGACAGAAAAAATAAAAATATAAAAAACTTAATTTTTAATGGCTTATTTTTTAACTGCTTAATTAATTATTGATATAAGTAATTTAAAAAGAGATTTTCAAGGACCTACAATATATAATACACTAACCCCTGCTACATAGCATTGTTACCACAATAGTTTTCCATGTAATATGAGAATCCTCTTGTGCACATTTCAATTTACAATGAAATATATTCTAACTATTTAAAAGTTACAATTAAAGATGTTAAGAAAATTTTCAGTTCATAAATGTTTTAATTTTGATAGTGGGTAGCTTGCATTTTCCTAGAGAGAGGAAAAAACCTTTTAAAAATATGTTAATGATGCGGTAAATGATAAACACAGAAATTAATCATTCTCATTTCTGAAATATTGAGAAAGTGTTTTTTACTGTCTGATATGTGACTTCCAACATGTAATCCTGAGAATCACAAATGCTGTAGACCTCTGTAAACTAGATGGATAAATATGGATACCACTATACATCAATGGATAAATGTTAGGCCACATGGTTTCATACAGCCTCAGACAGTCTTAGAAATAATGTGAGAAACCCTTCATGTTTTATGTTTCTGTCTGCTATAGAAGATGATCAGATAGATGTATTGCTCTACACTGTGCTGATGTCTATTGCTGATTCTTATTATTGTGGTAATAAAACTTACATATATTTTAAATTTGTTCCTATTATTATGCCTTACAACAAGAAAAATCCAAGACATAGATCATTAACTCAACAATAATTTTTTCTCTACATCATGTAATATATATGCATGTGTTTTTGAACCACTTAATTTTTAAATAAACTTTTTATTTTGGAATAATCTTAGATTGACAGAAAAATTGCAAACATAGTACAGACAATTCTCACCAAGTTCTGACCTTTCATCCAGTTTTCCTTAATGTTAATTCTTTATGTATTCATGGTACATTTTTGAGACTAAGAAATTAGTTTTAGAATATTACTATACTAAACTACAGACTTTATTTATATTTCACCTTTTTTTCCCCACTGATGTCTTTTTCTGCTTCAGGATCTGATACAGATACTGAATATTACATATTTTAATAATTGTATAATATAAAGTTTTGTAATCTATTTTTCTAATAATCCTACAACCTAAACAACATTATATATGTATATACACATATATGTATATAAGTATATATGCTTATTTGTGTGTGTATCCATATTGTTAATTTTAAAGTAATCATTAGCAATACATTGTTTGTATGTTCCATAACTTTTAAACTGAAAATTTAATTTTATATTCATCAACATTTGGATTGTGACTTTCATGATGAGGCATAGGGAGGTAGAAGGCACTAATATAAACAACATGTTAATAAGCATGCTTCAATTTGCTTATTTTCTTTGGATACATTTTAGGAACTCAGATTGTTAGGGTATTACATGTATTCTCTTTTGAATATCTGCTATATATTGCCAATATGTCCTCAAAAAGAATTGTGCCAATTAAGAATCAAATTTCAAAGAGGAGGAAGAAAAGAAGGGAATGTAGAAAATGAATAAGCATGTCTTAATATTAATTTCTAGTAATTTACTAAATGGGTAATTGGAGGTTTAAAGACTAAGTGTGGGCAGAAAGGAGTGGCAAGATTCAATGAGCCATTATTGAAAGCAAAATACAAAGTGAAAGAAAGATTATAGCAGTGCTTGTTGAACCATTTTGCCTGCTGTCATCCCACCACAATCTTAGATTCTTTCTTGAAAAGCATTTTTTAATTTAGTGATTTCATTTTTGTGAACATCAATTTGCTAAACTGCAACTCTGTGAACGCTCACTGTGAAGCTGAGAAGCAGAAGTGGTAAGTGGAGGTGGTGAGCTAAAAGACAAAGGTAGAAAGTGTTTCAACCCACAGGAGCACAATGTTTTCAGGAAAAATCCACAAGAAACTATTGCATTGTAGCAAAAAGCTGTATTGATTCCAGAAAAATACTAAAGGCTCAAATGTTCTGATTACTAAACCAGGGTTTGAAGGTAGGATAATGATATTATAAGAATCAGGTGAGTTGTTATGCAAAATTAGACACAGAAGCAACATATCTGTAAAAATTCTGAATATAGTATTTTGAGATGAAGTTATTTATAGGCATGACATATTTCTCTATGAATTCTAAAGCCCATGTGGCTTGTCTTTTGTAAAATCAAATGCTAGGCTTTTTGTATCATGGGGGGCCTACTCAATTCACTCTCTTGGATCAGTTATTAATCATTTTGCTTTGTAAATGATAAGGATGGAGTATCTGTGAATGTGGATGTGATGTGCTTAAGCAATAAATTCCTGACATATGACATTCAATCTCATTCACAGGAATGAATATCACAGAATTCAGTGGGAGGACTTAACTCTGGGTTACCAACCAAGAAACTCCTTCCTCCTTCTCAAGGTTAAAGTGAGAAGTAATGTTACTTTATCAATTTCTCCAGGGCACCCTGGAGAAACAGAACTCTGTGTGGCCGCCCTGCACCGAGTGTTGCTCTTCATATATGTGTGAATAATAGCAAATAACATCAAGAAAAAGCAGCATTCCCCTATGTAGAGCTAATGGTATTGTAATAAAAGTGTGACAATTGAACAATTGCAGAAGGGAAATTGTGACTCATTTGCAGTTACTTTTAAATACTCACTAAATGATTCCGAACAGGACTATTTTGAGTTCTATGGCGCAGAAGGGGGCTAAGAACAAATAGCAAATAAAGCTGCAATTCAAGTTATAGAGCTTACAAAGTTGGGTACCAAACAAATAGGAGTTGCTCTGGCTATCAGGGGAGTCCTCAAGAATCTCCCACGGTCAAACCAGAGTCTGGGCCATGCATTGTGTTTCGGGTAACAATTTCTTTTGGTGTCTTGACTGCTAGCTGACATCTGAACAATTTCTCTTAGGTTTTTGACTTAAATGGGTAGAATGTGAGGAATTAATATGTAAAGATTGTAGGAATCAAAGAGGAGTCAGGAGGGGGAAATAGGTAGTATCCTCTTGTCACGATATAACACATGAAATCCCTGCAGGTAACAGATAACATGCTAGGAAGTCCACAAAGTCAGAGCATGAAAGAGAAGACTTTTGGAGGCATTCGCAATTTTCAAAGATTCGAGCATTTTCTATTTTCCCTGACTGCAAAACTCAGGCAATTGAAAATCCTTTTTTGTGCGTAATAAATGGTTGCAAAAACCTGTACTTTTAAATTTCAGTAAATTTATCGCTTTTAGTGTTATTTTAACTTCTAAAAGAAGAAGGTGACTGTTGGAGAAAGATGTATGTGTGTAGAAATACCACAGAACAGCGCTACTCTACTAGCTAGTAAACAGACATTTCCTCTCTCTCTCTCTATCTTCCTATTTATTTGCTTAAATTACTAGCAGCAGTAAAAATAAGGAAGTGAAAACAGCTCTATGTCAAAAATAGTTTAAGAAAAGGGATGAACAATTCTTGAATGGCTCTACACAGCTCTCACCTTGGCCCTAATCACCAGAATTATTACTGATAAGTCTACAGCATCATGAGAGCCATCATTAATGTCACCAAATAGGAAGAAAAGTAAACTGAAGGGGTTCTCTTTTCAGATTTCAGCCTTACAAAGGAATAAAGCCATGTCAAAATTGAGGTTTCCTACAAAATTAAACCAATCATCCCAATGATAAATAAAGTACTTTTAAAAATCAAACCCAACAATATACAAAAGTTAGGAATATCAGGACTCGTGTAGTTTACTACTGATTGACTTAATGTTGGAACATTGATTAAAATAATTCACTTCATAGTTTGATAAACGAAAGTCAAATTATCCCAATAGACACAGAAAAAGTGCAATAAATTTTATATGCACTTACGATAAAAATTAATAGCAAAATTTTGACAGACGAGAATGTCTTTCATCTGATAACAACCATCTTCAAAAACCTACAGGAAACACATTTAATAGTTAAATGTTGAAAGCATTAACTTTAATATAAGAAACAGGAAAAATATGTGCCACATTATCACTTCTTTTCTGTATTTTAATATATTCCCCGTGAGGCTGAAAATAAGAAAAGTAATAAAATATATGATAATTGGAAAAGAAGAATAGTGATAACTGATAATATGATTGGGTACATAGAACATCTCAAACTGAACTTTAATACACCAGCAACTTACTGTTAGAAAATGTGATTATATGAAGTTAAAATTTGCAACGAGAAATGACCTGGGCATAAGTCTATTAAAATATGTGTAAAAGTTTGTTGAAAAAAATTTAAAGCTTTAAAAATATATTAGAAATATGCTTTTAGATGCCAGTTGTCACCAAATATTGTATAAATTCAACAGATTTCCAAAAAAAGAAAAACAAACCATTTTTTACGAAACAGCTGATTTTAAAACATATATGCAAATGAGTAGCCAGGACAGACTTTTAAAAAATGAGAAAACTTTTTTTTATCAGATATCAAGATTAATAAACCTAAGGTATTTAAGAATATGTGCTCTCAGAACAAAAACAGCAAGAACAAATTTGTATTTGAGACAAATTGCAGATTTCAGAAACTTCACATTCTTATGTACATGTCTGTCATTGGCTAGGTAGAGGAAAATGAAAGTTTATTCATAAATGCTTCTGGGAGAATAGGTTATTAGGCGAAAATAACAACATAAAATATCACATTACACTTAATACAAAATCAATTCCCAGTGAATTAAAGATGTAAATGAGGGCCAGACATGATGGCTCACACCTATAATCCCAACACTTTGGGAGGCCAAGGCAGGCAGATCACCTGAGGTCAGGAGTGCGAGACCAGCCTGGCCAACTGGTGAAACTCTGTCTCTACTAAAAATACAAAAATTAGCTGGGCATGGTGGTGCACGCCTGTAATCCCAGCTACTAGGGAGGCTGAGGCAGGAGAATCACTTGAACCCAGGAGGTGGAGGTTGCATTGAGTCGAGATCATGTCACTGCACTCCAGCCTGGGCAACAAAGAGAGACTCCATTTCAAAAAAAGAAAAAAGATGTAAATGAGAAAGACAAAGCCATACAATTTGTCACAACATATATAAGACGATGTATTTTTTGTTGCCTTCCTTGTCTTCCTGCAATCTGCCCCAAATCTAACTCTAGTTAGAGCACTCCGGGGATTAATGTTAGATCTCTTCCCTATCTGCATGCGCTGCCTTGCTTATTTCACCCAGTGTCAATGACTTGAAGTAACATTTCTATGCAGACAACTCTAAAATACATATTTCCAGTCCTGAAGTCTCCCCTGAACTGCAAACGGCTTAGTGACATCTTCATTCATGGTGAATGGTCATTAATATGTCTACAAACAAACTCTTAATCTCTACCCCCCCTCTCCAAAATCTGGTCCACCCAAGTTTGCCATCCTCAATGGTTGCAAATTTACCCTGTCAGTTCAGTTTCTCAGACCAAGACTTTGTAGCCACCTTTGACTCCTCTCTCACACACCACATCCAATTCCAGGGGCATGGCATCACCACTGCACAGAGTTTGGTCCATTGGATGGAACTTCCATGTTCAGTCTCAATCAAAAGATGACCATCCTGTGGCCAGATGGTGGCCACGACCCAGTGGACCCCTCTGCTTGTTGTTTTGCAGAGCTGTCAGAAAGCCACGCCGTATCATTGGAAGGCACATTTCTCAGTCTTGGACCCCAATTAACCAAATAATTCCCTGTGAGTTGCTTGGTCCCTTCTAGTAAGTTTGTCATTGGTTCATGGAGCTTACTGTTCTCTTAGAGTTCCAGCTGGGAGCCTCTGGGTTTTGGACTTGGAATTAGCATGCATGGAGGTTTCAGACGCCTGTAATTCCATCAGTCTCGCTGGCTGTGAAGGTTTCAGATGCAGTGCCTGGGCCACAGCTTATTGAATGGCTTCCAAGGCCTGCTGCTGCAAAGGGCCCCATTCACTGTGGACGGCTTTGTTGATCACCTTGACTAAGGAGGTCAACAGAGCAGCAAGGTGGGTCCATGTTTTCTCTAGTATCCAAAGAAACATATCAGTTGTTGGATAACCTTGGTTAGTGAGTGCTATCAAGGCCAACAACATCTGCTTGGTTTTATGTGGCATATTCCATTTGCTTCCCTACTAAGTGGCCTCTGCATTCAGCCTGCATTAGTCCATTGTCAGTCTCTAGACCCCAAAGGCCTGTTTTACTAGCCAAACTCAGTTGTTCCATTGTGTCAGGGTTGCTTATAATATTTCTGCTTGTAGCAAGTCCTGAATTGACTGAATAATGCACTTTTTCACTTAGTGTACAGTATGGATTTTGTTGAATAACCCATTGGAGCTTGCATAGCTTGGGGGACAGGTAAGAGTGGGTTTGCATCAGTATTATGGATCCAATTCTTAGCTGTGAGGAGGCATCTCCCTCAGGTGGCAGTGGTGTTCTGCGCCACAGCAGCCAACATGCCAATGCCTATATTGCACTCTGTGGTGCAAACCATGGTCCCCAGCACTTGAAATGGCCAACAGGGTTCACCCAAAAGCATATAAGCACCATGGGCACCATGTTTGTCCCCGAATCTGCCAATGTCATCAGCTTAATCTTTCTCCTAAGGGGACCTGGAAATAGTGTCCTGTGGGCTCCAGTATCTAACTCCAGAAAATCTGAATTCCTTTCTTTTACCCTTTTATTTTAACCATCAGTCCCCAGTGAAGACTCAGAGGATGGGGCCCCATTCCTACCCCTACCTTTCCACCTGAGACATTTAGAGTTGCAACGTCTCTTCATCAAGCACACAAACCAAACCACATAGGACTTGTGTAGCCTTTCTCCATATCCATCCTGTCGATAGTGCATCTCCCTTTCTAAGGAGGCCTGAAGCACACGTCTGGGCACCTCCTTTTGAGGTTTCCAGCCTCAGGAACGAGCAATCACATAGGTGCCCAACAACCAGGGAACTGTGTACTGCACCCCCCTATTTCCACATTCTTTTCTCTCTGCAGGACACACAGGACATAAGGGGAAATTTACAATGTCCTACGTGTAATTTCTTCTTCCTCATAAAATATCCCCAGGCTGACATTTTCACCCTTGGCCAGCTACCTGGGAGGAAGGTTTTGCCCCCACCCCACCCCTCTCACTGCACCAGTAGGTCATAGTTTTGTCAGGCTAGACCATGCTCACTGTATCAATTTTGTGAAGCAGTGTCATCGTGAATTGGTTACCTGCTTTTCTGAGTCTGGCGAGACTGAACGCCCACATGCAGCCAGTTTATTACTGACAGATAGGCAGCAAGGGACAGCAGAAGCCTTGCATGCATTGCAAGCAGGTCTGTCCAGACTCAGGAAAGCCTCCTGGGGCAGATGGAGTCTCAGTGGGGAACCTTCCACTTACACTGCAGCTGAGGAACCCCGGAAAGCAGCCCAACTGGGTTTTACATCCTGGATGCCACACGGGGCACCAGACTAAAGCATTGAAAGATTTCTTGTTTTGGAAGGGGAGGATGGGGTCTGGAACAGAGCCTGGGATATCCTGCCCATTCCCTCACTATCTCAGGATGTTGCATTCCCAGCATATTCTACAGTTATTCTTGAGATCGAAAAGCAAGAAAGAAGGGGAAATTGGGTCAGTCCCAGAGAATTGTTCTACAGCAGGAAATCTCTTCCTTCAAAATACGTATAAATTATTAGCATTTCTCCTGACTGCCACTACTACCACTGATATGGTTTCGCTGTGTCCCCACCCAAATCTCACCTTGAATTATAATAATCCCCACATGTCAAAGGTGGGGCCAGGTGGAGATAATTGAAACATCGGGGCAATTCCCCCATACTGTTCTCATGGTAGTGAATAAGTCTCACGAGATCTGATGGTTCCCCTGCACAAGCTCTGTTGCTTGCTACCATGTAAGACGTGTCCTGCTTCCCCTTCACCTTCCACCATGATTGTGAGGCCTCCGCAGCCATGTGGAACTGTGAGTCAATTAAATCTCTTTCCTTTATAAATTACTCAGTCTCAGGTATGTCTTTATTAGCAGTGTGAGAACCGACTAATACAACCTCCTTCAAACAAACCAACATCTCTCCCTTGGATTGTCATAGTCACCCCCTGACTGGCCTTTTTGTTTCCTCTCTGGCCCTCTAGAATTTTCTCAACATAGCAACCAGAATATAAAAAGAAAAGCCAGATTACAACATTCCTCTGCTCAAAACCTCATAAGACTCTCCATTCTGTAACAAAAAAAAGCAAAGTCGCTGCAATGCCTTGACCTGTCTAGTGGGATTTGGCCCCTCTGCTGCCTCTTGGACCTCATCACCTACATCTCTTCCCATTACCCATTGGGTTCCATCCATGCTGACCTCCTCACATATGTTGAATATGCCAGGAATACAGTTATTTCTGAGATTTCCACCGGGCATTTCCCCTATCTGATAAACTGTTCCCAAAGACTGCCTCATAGAGCACTCCCGTAAGACTTCCATGAAGCGACACCTCAGGGAGACTGATCCTGAGTAGCCTTAAAAAAAACTGCAAGCAACATCACCTCCCCCAGCTTCCTCATGCTCTTTTCCTTGTCTGCTTTCCTACTTGGCACCATGTAATATTTATGATTATTATATATTATCTCTCCCTGCTCCACAGCATGGGAATTAAGTTTATTAGGGCACTGATGTTTTGTCTGTGCAATTTCCTGATATGTATCTAGTAGGCTTAAAACAATGCCTGGCACACAGTAGGGAATAAATATTTGTCATATTGATGTATTTGTGAAGATCATCTGTAAATAAAAAAGATACAAACCTGAAAATGGATAAAATAAGTTAGCTCTAATGTTACAAAATTAGAAATTCCTATATGAATCTATAGGCAACTTAATGAGGAGTCTAGGAAGTTCTATTTTAAAATGACAATGATGAGATGACGCTTCATACTAACCAGATTGGCAAAAAACAAATAGTGTTACAAATGTTATGCCAGGAGTAAAGAAGACACATATATTTTATATATTATCATATATGGTGATGATATTTCATAAATTATAATTTTGGATCCAGAAGAAAATGGGCTTCAATTATTCACATAATTTAATAAAGTGCTTTTGTGTATTTCTGGAATTTTACTGCCAATTGTGTTACCATCAGATCAAGTGTAATTGTATCAAGGGTCTATGTGGAGAAGTACTATGGACAAAGGGAAATGAAAATAAATTTAATTTGGTATAGTCATATAAATGCTAATAAATTCTCAGTGGTGAAAATAATTATTAAATATGAATAGGTTAATTACACAAACAGTAAACATATAAACTAGTCAAAACTCTAACCAAGAGAAGGATAGCTAATTCATTCACTAATGGGGTTTTTATAAAGAGAAAGCACGGTAACAAAATGTATCAGTCAATTGTTTTATCCTTTTTTTGAGGTCAAGTTGTTAACAGAAAGTGCAACCTTCCATTATTTGACTTAATTCAAATGCAGACACATTTTACTATTTTTCATAAAAAGTCATACTTTGCATTTTTAAGCCTGTGTGTATTTATTCTTGATTTCTATTCTGTTTTGACTTCAGTTAGAACCACCTGCATGTTTAATATAAAAACAGTTGAGGTTAAATGTATTAGTTTAGCCCAGTATAATTAAAAAAAGAGAATCTCTAAATCAAGTAAGTGTTATTCCTTCACCACTCTTCTGAGTCAGCGTTTTGAAATCTTAGCTTCACACAGATAATGAATATTTACTTTTTAAACTAGATTGGCCAACACCCCATTCCACATCTGCTAATATGCCCCATGACTGAACTCCTTCCCCAAGGCCTGGGAAGATTTTGATAGTGTTTCATTGTTGTCTCCTTGGCTGTGTTGCAGACATCTGTAGTTCTTCTTCCCCATTGAGCTTTGTCTCTCAACTCCAAATTTTCCCCCTTAAAATGATTAGTATCTGCTTCAAGTTCACATATTTTTTCTTAAATAATTTGTTCATAGTGACTTAAGATAAATGTTATGATTGGCAACATGTAGATTCCACAAAAGGACTTTTTTTTTGGTATAGAAATGGACACCATAGAATTAAGAGTAACTGCTGGATATTTATTATTTACTTATTCATTTATACATACTTTTTCCAGAGGTGATTTAAGATGGCTTTTGTACATATACACAAAAGGAGGAAATGATACCCTTTCCATTAAGTGAGATCCTATCATTTAGCCTCAGTCCTGTGCCTCAGAATATTTCCCCAGTAGGGCCAAGTCTCACAGTATAGACGTCAAGAGTACCACCTGTATTTGTCCGTTCTCATGCTGCTATAAAGAAATAGCCTGGAGTGGGTAATTCATAAAGGAAAGAGGTTTAATTGACTCACAGTTCCACAGGGCTGAGGAGGCTTCAGGAAACTTACAGTCATGTCAGAAGGGAAAGCAAACATGTCCTTCTTCACATGGCAGCAGGAGAGATTAGAATGAGAGCCAAGCAAAGGGGGAAGCCCCTTATAAAACCATCAGATCTTGTGAGAACTTACTATCACAAGAATAGCATGGAAGAAACTGCCACCATGATTCAATTACCTCCCACCGGGTTCCTCCCACCACACATGGGGATTATAGGAACTAAAATTCAAGGTGAGATTTGGGTGGGGACACAGCCAAACTGTATCATTGCCCTTTCAACTTGGACTCTGATGTTTTCAAGGGTCTTTGGTTGCCCAGTGTAGATTCTCTAAGTTAAAAGGCTCTTATAGCAAAGACCTAGTAAACACATTTTTAATAATCTTATTCGAGATAAATTTTACACTGGCTAGCTTCTCAAACTATTAAAACAAGAAAAGGACACCAGAAGAGTCATATAGAAAAAGAATCTTTTTCTGAGCTTACCAGAAATAGAGTTGACACTTGAACAATGCAGAGTGCCTACTCCCTTTCCAAAGTTGAAAATTAACATACGACTTTTGACTTTCCCCAAAATTAAGTCGCAATAGCCTACTGCTGACTGGAAGCCTTCCAATAGCATAAAGAGTCAATTAACACATATTGTGTATGTTATATATATTATACACTGTAAGTTTACTGTAAAGTAAGCTAGAGAAAAGAAAATGTTATTAAGAAAATCGTAAGGAAGAGAAAATATATTTACTAGTCAGTAAGTAGAAGTGGATCATTGTGAAGGTCTTCATCCTCATCATCTTCACACTGAGTAGACTGAGGAGGAGGAGGAAGAGGAGGGGTTGGTCTTGCTGTCTCAGATGTGGCAGATGAAGAAGTGGAGGAGGAGGAGGGGGAGACAGCAGAGGCAGGCACATTCTGTGTAACTTTTATTGGAAAAAATTCATTTGTAAGTGACCTGTGCAGTTGAAACCCATGTTGCTCAAGGGTGAACTGCACATATATGTACATGCATGCGTGTGTGTATGTATATGAATATTATCAGAAAGCTAATGTAAAAGTGATAGCAAAAGATTTCATATATGTTTTCTATGCTTCCTGCCACAAAAACGGGCATTTAAATTCATTAAGTTCTTAGCATGGCTATCCTAGAGTCATTTCATTAATAACTATCTCCTCATATGATCCGTCAGTCTTTTTCCTTCTGACTCAAGACATAGTAATAGAAAGATAGAAAGGTATTTCCTGAAACCAGTGGTTTCATATACTGGATTTCACAGGTGTGAAAATACTCAACTCTTAACATATGTTCTAAGAATAAGGACTTGGAGGAAATAACATTAGAATCAGAACTGATGGCTGAGCACAGTGGCTCACATCTGTAACCTTGGAGTTTTGGGAGGCTGAGGCTGGAAGATTGAGGCTGGAAATTCGAGACCAGCCTGGGTGACACAGCAAGACTCCATCTCTACAAAAAAAACACTTTTTTTAATCAACTGGGTGGGGTGGTGTACACCTATACCCAGCCACTCAGGAAGCTGAGGAGGGAAGATCGCTTGAGCCCAGGAGTTTGAGGCTGCAGTGAGTTTTGATCATGCCACTGCACTCTAGCCTGGGTGACAGAACAAGACGCTGTCTCAAGAAAAGATGGAGGCGGCAATGGCAGGATGGAGTATGAAAACTTCTTAAAAAGTTCAAGTGACCCCAGAAAATGGTTTCTGCCTAACTCTCTAGTCGTGCTTCCTGTTATGCTAATTTATTTTAGAAATTAGCACATATATTCCTGCTTCAGAGCCCTTAAGTATGTCCTATGTCATCCTCGCTGCTTGCAACATTTTCCTTCACCTTCCTCTTCACCTAACTTTTCATTTTTATACTTTAAGATCTAGCACACAACTGGAAGTAAATTTTTGCCAAAATTGTAGTCACAACACACAGTTGCGCATGCACATGCACACCTGCTCACCTCTACAATTCTGAGTTTGCCTCATCACTGCAGCTTTTATGGGTGATATGTCATTGTCAAACTCAACTAGACATTTTAGATATTGGGATGCTCATCTTCTCCTCTTTAAAATGCTTTGTCACTCAGGAGAGAATGAGACATAGAAAATAAAATATTTGTTACTGCAACCCCACCCTGTCTGGTGCCTACGAAAACAGGATAGAGAGCCTAGGGTATTACCTGCCAAGTGTGCAAAGCCATTGTCTTCAGGATCACTATTAGAGGAGGCAGCTTTCAGGGAACAGTCCCATACAGCCTGAGAAGGGAAGGAGGTGCTTGTCTGCTTCAGCACCACCTGGGCCCTATTAATCCCCACACCCACACTCCAAGTGCTCTATTTGCTGTAACAGTGCAAAGATAGTGTTTTTTTCCAGTGCACTCTCTCAGGTAAAGGCCGCATTCCTTCACACACAGAGTCCTCTCTGTGCCACAACTAAAGCAAGCACAGGGAAGATTTAATCCCTCCATCTCCAGGGCCCATTCCTGAATCAGTCACATACATTCTGGGATCTGTGAAGTGTTAGAGACTTTAGTTTTCAGAAATATGACAAACTGGACACACTGCAGGGTCTAGCAACTATAGTACAGCTAGATTCTGGAAAATTAAAACAAATACAAACATATATATATACACTCTTTTGTTAGGATAACAAAGCAAATAAAAAGTGTCTACATGTCCCCCATATCAACACACACACACCCACACGCACACACACACACACCAGTGAATTAAAACAAGAATAAAGCAGTGGAAAACTAAGTGCATTCTCATTCTCTCTCTCTCTCTCTCTCTTTCTCTCTCTGTCTTTCTCTATCCTTTCTACTTCATAATCAAATTTCCCATTTGACTATATTTAATGTTATTATTGAAAATCAACTTTTGGCTTTGTTGACCATCTCAATTATGTTTTGGTATTCTATGTCATAAACATATGCTGCTATCTTTATCTCCCCTTTCTTCTGCCTCATTAAGTTTAGTTATATTACTCTTGTGCTATTGTCTCCAGTTAGACACATGCTCATTAATCATTATCCTTCCTTGTATGGTGGGAGATTAGCTTATTGTTTTAAAATATTTCCATGCACCCCTACCACACCATGAGGGACAAAAGAACTCCTCCTTTTTGATTTTGAGCTCAGTCCTGTGACTTACATTGGTCAAAGAGTTGTTTGGAGATGATACCAGCAGAGCCTTGAAATGCGTCTGCTTGACGGGCACTTGCTCTCACGTACTTCCAACCGATGCATGAGACAAGTGTCTCTTGAATTGCCATCATCCCTTCAGGCTCCTGATTAGGTACCCAGGAAAGTGACCTGCCGACCAGCAGCACGAAGAGGCAGCGCCACCCCACTGACCTGCAGACCCAGGATCATGTGATACAGCGTATGTCATTTTGTCCCACTGAGTGTGTGGGCTTTGTTACAGGAAAATTCTGACACACTTGTTTTCCAAAATAAGGATTAATGTCAAACATCTCTTTGAATCGCTCTGCTAATCAAACATCTCGCACCTAGAATCAAGCATCTTGCTTATTCTTGATTAACCATCACCACAGAGATCCTTCTTGAGGTCGTATGGGATGAGGATATCACCCAAGAATGTAAAACAAGAAGAGAAATAAGAACAGAACAATGAGTAGTAATGATTCTTAGGATTTGGACCAAGTTCAAAGAATTCACTGTTATGTGAGCACATAGAAGGCACTATATGACTAAACAGTGAATGAATGGACATTGTGGAAGTAATTGTACAGCCAAGGGTGCCCTTCGATTTTAACATGTTTAGGAAACTACTTATTTCAATACTTCTACTTTTGATCCCCAAATTAATGATACCCCCAAAGCTATAAAATATTGGTGATAATCCATATGTTTTTTTATAACTATAGTCTACATGAAATAAAAACTTCTGTTTCCCCTCACCTGCATTTCTTAACATTACTACTGGACTCTCCTGCTAAGCGGTGTCTAATGAGATGAAGACAGCCCCTCAGCTGATTCTGCTAGTTACAGCCTCTTTTCCCAATTAAGTAGCAAGAGCCCAACTTAAAAAAAAAATCACGCTTTTTAATTAAAAAGTTGGTTAAGTGCAATTTTTTGGATGACTTATGACAGAAAATACATACATATTTAAAAAGTCAGGTAATTCATTTTTCTTCCTTTTAAATGAGTTCATCTGATTCATGCAATGATTTTTTGAAAGACATCAGCTAGCATCATGGAGCCATTCATTTAAATAGGTGAAACAAATTATACCACAGCAGAAACATATTGGGAAGTAGTAAGAGAAACTGGTTATAATTATTTCTTCTGCTAGATATTTGCTTTGTTATTAGGAAAAGCCATAAAAATTCCCCACACTTTGGTCAACCCAAGAATGAGAGAAAACACATCCAAATCTCACATTATATTATACTGAATTAGTACCTTATCTTCCTTTCAAAAATGAAATTGCATCGTTGCTCTACTATGCACTTAATACTATTTTAAATGATGTTTTCCTATTAAAGAAAAAAAATGACAATCAATCTCAAGTAAGTCTCTACTAAAACAAAATGAAATTTGTATACACACAAAATATAATCACAGGATTCATTATTATTGGCATAAAAGTTAAAGACAGAGCTGTTTGGGAACCCATTTTACATTTAATTAACCAGCTTGAATTGTTCTTCATATTATCATCTAATTATATTTCTCTATTATGATTATAAAAGTAATTCTCATTGGTCTGGACTCTCCAACATTCTATAAGGGAAATTGATACTTTTCTTTCTGGTAAAGAGAGACATTAAAATACCTTTCCAGTACCCATCCCCTCTGCCCTTATTTTCTCTCATGAGGATTGTACCTGGTTAAATAGAGGAAACATAGAGCAATAAAAAAATAGAATTTTTAGAGACTGTAAAGAGTGAGCACATGTGAACATGAACGTGGCTACTGTTCACAGGGTCACTGAAGGCTGTCTCTGGACAGGGCTGCATTTCTTCATTGACTCAGCCCCTAGACCAATTGATGATTCTGTAAAGGGAGCAAAGCAGTTCAAGAAGGCCAAGCCACCAGAGCAGGGCAACTGTATTCACAACTAAGCACTGGCTTGGCTGTCCTCTGTGACTGCGTGCCAGTGGACATGCTTCTTTCATGTGTGGTTTTTCAATAATTACATACCTGACTGAGACACCAAAAATTAAATGAGGCACAACGCATCAGTAGGAAAATAATTGTGTTAATGATTTTACAGAGATTAATGTAAAGATAAATAAAATTCCATATAGCACAGAAGAAATTTTAAATGAGATCCTTTACTCTTTTGTCCAAGTAACATAGATTCCCCTTAAGTATCTTGCACATAATATTTGATGACAGTTGTTAATATTATTTGCATATCCTCAGTCACCCTTATAATGTAATGTGTAGATAATTTACAGAAAGTAAACAGGTCAAGACTTAGATTGACAAAGACTTTTGCTATAGTTTGCATATGGGTTTTCTGTCTCTGCTAAATCTCATGTTGAGATTTGATATTGGAAGTGGGGTCCAATGGGAGGTAGATTGCTCATGAATAGGCTAATGCCTTCCCTGGTTGGGGGCACGGTGAGTGAATTCTCACTCTATCATTTCTCTGGGGAGCTACTTGTTACAAAGAGATAGGCACCTCCCCTGTCTTGCTCTTTCTTGCTCTGTCACCCTGTGATCTCTGCACAAACCAACTCCCCTTCACCTTCCACCATGAGTGGAAGGAACCTGAGGCCCTCACCAAATGCAGGTGTCCAATCCTGAACTGTACAAGACATCAGAAACATGAGCCAAGTAAATTTCTTTTAATTACCCAGTCTCAGATATTTCTTTATAGCAACACAAAATGGACTGAGATCATTGTAAAATGTATTAGGGTGTCTGTATGTTCAAATAATAATAAAAACATAAGTAATGACTTCCAACTGCTATCTGGTAAACGTCGCTAACTTCATTTTGCTTACTATTATCAGCTAATGGTTAATAACCAATGCCAGAAGAATGAAGAGGTGGGCACCTACATTTACACATCTTTTTAGAATAAAACGGTCTGAAATTATTCTATTAAAACACACAGCTGTTTTCTGTTTTAGCGTGACGTATCAACAAAATTTGGCATTTGTCTTAAACTTTTTTGAGGCTAGTGCAACTTCTTTAAACTCAAAAATATCAACTCCTCACCCAGAGAAATCAGCATACCCAGGCCATTTTTATTCTGAACTGCAATCGTGATATTCAGTAAAAGGTAGTTATTGCTTCGTCTGTTACAAACTGCCAAGTGTTGTTTACTCATGGTGGAAACTTAACTGAGAACTTGTGAAAATGCAAAAAAGAAAAAGGGGGGCAAAAGACTTGCACATGCTAGGTTTGAAAATCATTTTGTAAAATTTGTAAAGTATTGATTGTTCACTTAAGTAATTTTGTAGCTGTAGTTTCATACAGCTGGACCACCACTTAGAGAACAGGCCAGTAACTGGGGCCCCAGGGGACAATGACTTGCCCAAGGCTGCTTATTTAGTGGCAGAGTGGGAATATCATGAGCCTATTTTTTATTTCACCACGCTTCATTTTCATTTATCTGAAATCCAAAGAAGCATGTAAATAATCTCTTAATCTTTCTAAAAAACACTTAGCCAATAGCCCAAATTTTCTTTTTTTCTTTTTTCTTTTTTTCTTTTTTTTTTTTTTTTTGTTAAAGAGTCTCACTCTGTCGCCCTGGCTGGAGTGCAGTGGCTCAATCTCGGCTCACTGCAACCTCTGCCCTCTGAGTTCAAGCAATTCTCCTACTTCAGCCTCTGAGTAGCTGGGATCATAGGCGCCTGCCACCACACCTGGCTAATTTTTTGTATTTTTAGTAGAGACAGGGTTTCACCATCTTGGCCAGGCTGGTCTTGAACTCCTGACCTCATGATCCACTCGCCTCGGCCTCCCAAAGTGCTGGGATTACAGGCATGAGCCACCAAGCCCGGCTCAATAGCCAAAATTTTCTAAAGAATCAAATATACTTTTGTTTGGGTCACAAGGAAATATTACGCTTCTTGATTGTGTTTTGACAAGGGTTATTGGGTGTTCATTTTACTTGGGACCATTATTTCCAGAATACGCTGTTAAGGGAATAGTATTGCAGTGAGAATAAAAATCACATCTCACAGATATTTTGTTTGTTTATATGCTTAAATTAAATAATGTATGTAATGCTTAGAGCTTAGAAGAATATCTGGCACATAGAAAACTCTCAATATTTTCGCTTAGTTTTATTATTCTCTAAGCCATACTTATCTGCTAAACCACAGCTATAATTATTGTGTTGATGATTATTAACTGTTAATTATTTTTCATAATTTAAAACCTTCCTAACTCTCTTGCAGTGTGTTAACACTCCCTCTATTATCTAATTCTAAGTCACCTGCACTCTCCACTCCCATTTTGTATAATCTTAACTCCATCAGGTCCTACTTGCCCCGTTCCTGGGATAAAATGAAATGCCACATTCTTTGTAGCTGTATGCCAGGAGAGTACTGCCCAGAAGACAACTGGAGAGTTAATCAGGTCAGTAACAGAACTGCAGACTGTTGACAGGTGCCACAGAGGTCCTCTAAACCCACCAAGGAAACATTTATAGCTGCAGTCCAAAAAAGGAATAAAAATTAGAAACCTGAGGGAGTGTGGTCTGTTACGGGGAGAAGAATACGTGTCAGTCACAATGCGGCCCTCCAGATGCTTTGGGGACTGTCTGAGCAGAAGCAGCTTTCCTCTCCCCACATCTTATACAGTGCAAGGTGCAACCAATGACACTCACGATTACTGTATATTGAAGAGTTATAGCCATCTTGATAGACTTTTTGCTTAATACTTTAAATGTATGGTTTCTAAAAAGCATATTTATGCAATACTTAATTGCTTTGGTGGGTTTCAAAAAACATAACTAATGTTTAAAGCTATCTAGTTTTTAAAAAAATTCCATCCAAATTGAGAAGTATAATACGATATAAAATATATATTATGATATATAATAAACATATAATATATATAATATTATACATTTATATTATAAGCATGGATTAGAAAGATTTCATACAATAGGGGATAAAATTGGGCCCGGCACGGTGGCTCATGCCTGTAATCCCAGCACTCTCGGAGGCCAAGGCAGGCAGATCACCTGAGTTTGGGAGATTGAGACCAGCCTGACCAACATGGAAAAACCCCATCTCTACTAAAAAATACAAAAGTTACCCAGGTGTGGTGGTGCATGCCTGTAATCCCAGCTACTCGGGAGCCTGAGGCAGGAGAATTGCTTGATCCTGGGAGGCAGAGGTTGAAAAAAAAATTATCCACCATTTCACACCTATTCTATTCACTTAATTATCCACTATTTCACACCTATTCACTTTATTCCAATGTGGACAATAACAATTTAGATTCGATAAAGTAAATATAAATGACCATTAAAATATTTGATTTAATTTAAGGGAATAATTGAAGTACTGACTTTAGAAATTCAAATAACTTATATTTGTACATACAACCACTGCTATTTTTGTTATGTAAAATTTCCTATTTACTTCATAAAGAGAAGTAGCTACATATAATTGTCTGTGTTCTTAGCAGGACAAAAGTCCTTCTGGCAATCAGATTACATTTTTAAGTAAATAAAATATTCCTTTAAGAGATATGAGAGCTGAAATGGTATATTTTCTCAAGGAGAAAGAAAACAGAATTGTTTATGCTTTTCACCCCTCACAACCTGGCCTCAGAGTTGAACCCTCTGGCAACCCCTGTCCAGGTCCTTGCCAAAGAAAAGGCTAAAGGAAAGCTTCTCAGACTCAGAGCTACCCAAGGCTCACTAGTCATTCTACTCGTATGCGGACCAGCTTGCTTCTGGAAAAACTACACAGTAAAAAAAAAAAAAAAAAACAGCCAATGTGAGAATGTTCAAGGTTTAATAACAAGTTTATTGATATTGTGCTGGTACTATTACTATGTCAAATGCTGTCTCTGGCCGGGCACAGTGGCTCACGCTTGTAATCCCAGCACTTTGGGAGGCTGAGGCGGGTGGATCACCTGAGGTCAGGAGTTTGAGATCAGCCTGGCCAACATGGTGAAACCCCGTCTCTGCTAATAATACAAAAATTAGCCTGGCGTGGTGGTGCGTGCCTGTGATCCCAGCTACTCAGGAGGCTGAGGCAGGAGAATTGCTTGAACTCAGGAGGCGGAGGTTGCAGTGAGCTGAGATTATGTCACTGCACTCCAGCCTGGGTTAATGCCATCTAAAAAAAAAGAAAAAAGAAAGAAAAAAAGAATGCTGTCTTTGCATGTTCTCGTTGACTTTTTACCACAACCCTATCAGGAGAGTATATTTGTAATTTTTATTTTACAGACAGAGACTGAGATCTGGAGAAAGTCAAGCGTTTAATTGCAGCGGAGCTGGGGCAGGAAGTCAAGGAGACTGTGGGGAAAGCTTTTACGTCAACACGTCTTCCATGAAAACTGCTCCTTAAAGAGCCAATCATCAGAAAGAGAAAACAACAAGAAGCGGGAGCTCATTTTCAGGCTGACTACACAGGAGTGCTTCAAAGCGACCTCCCTGAATTTTGCTTTTCCTTCCACCCACACTGCTTTCTCTCCTTTTTCTACGTTCACATGTGACTTCAATACTACTTCCCTTAGTACTTTGTAATAAATTACCATAAGATTTCATGTTCAATCTTTCGTTTCTTTTCCTAAGACTCAATTATTATAGTCTTAGAAGTATTAGGCCTGAGACCTCCACCTCACAGAAATTTGGGGTTATACATCAGCAAAGGCTCTCGGTGAGGGATGTGTGTGTCTGCCACAGTGCTTGTCACGCACATGGGCACACTGAAAAACTACTTCATTTAATCCTCACAACTCCATGTATTCAAAAGAATGAGCTACGTTCCTCGGATAAAATTGCTGAGGGTCTTCAACACAGTTCACGAGATAACAATTGTCTGGGTTGGTACCTGCTGGAGATCTGTCTTGCCCAGACCTGTGCTCTGCCAATGAGTATCCATTTCATCACAATTGCTCCAGATCCACATGTTTCAGAAAACATTACAATCAAAATGTAGTTATTACTTGACTCCCTACCAAAGACCAACTTGTGTGGTATAAATTCAAATGTATTCCTCTAAAATACTATTGCCAGGTCAAAAATCATTAAATTTCCTCACAAGAATTTTAAACACACATTTTCTGTTAATAGGTGAGTTGATCTGCCTTATTTATTTATGAAATCAGACACTTGACTTCTCAATGGTTGGTCACTGACTGACACAAGATCAGTTTTGTAAATTATTCCCTTTTTCAACCATTTTATTACTAATTCAGGTAGATAGGCTTAATTTTGTTTTGCTCAAGAAAGCAGCAGGAATCAGTACATCATTTTTTTTTACACATTTACCTCATACTAAAAGTATAAAATATAAAGGAGAAAAATTTCAAATATCACCACATCACGGATGTACTTTGAAGGTGAAATGAATTAATTAATGAGGCACTGTGATTAATATTTCTCCATAAATTGTCTTACTGTAGCATTAGGTTTTGTTTTCATTTGAATTTCGAATAAATCCATGCAGAGAACATAATTACTTTCATTCCCATAAAAACTTGCGATTTTCAGCTAACTGAAAAATTAAAATAAATTGAATCAGTCTTCAAGAGAGGTCGTTACAAAAATAGACATACATACAAAGATTAATATCCAATGTGTGAAATAATACATTTTTAGACAAAGATAAGTAAATATGTATAATAGTGGTGAAAACTTGCCAATGTTCCAGAAATAGTCAAGAACACAAAAAATGCATGTCTTATTTTTGCAACATAACGTGTCGTTATAAAAATTGCATCTCAAGGTATGTATATAGAGATACATGAACTCATTTCCATAATTTAATAATGTTAAATGACTTATTTTTCTGGGAGTTAAATAAAAACAACTCAACTTGCCTTTTGTAATCTAGCTTCTGTAATCTCACCAAACTTTGAATATTTTGAATGAATACACAGATACATAAACAATATACTTGGATGTTAGGAATTAATTTTTATGTAGTTTGGTATATAGAATTTTTTTTCAGAGATAAGTAACCTAGAACATTTGCATTTTCTTCACAAGCAATAGGTCTTAGGTGACTTAATTTGTTTCTTCTAATATAACAGTTTAGCATCTCCTTGTTACCATAGTATAGATTACCTCTTGTTAAGAAGATGCCCAATTATGCTGCAGCAGAATTAACTAAACTGTGATCTAGGGAGGTGAATATAAGGGAGTTTCTGAGCATATCCACTAGCCTAGCTATCAGATAGTCATGAGCTGCTCTTTGCTGATGATAAAGAAGGTATCAATGAAGATCCCTTATTGCAAACTACACTCCTGATTTCCCCAGGGTATCCAAGAGGCCACGTACAAGGACGGTGTATAGAAAGCTGGTACTAGATCACTGAGAAATAAGACTTTATCCATACTTCACTGCTACTGATCTGGTAAGAGCCCTGCTACTGATCTGGTAAGAGATAACTTATATCTTGGTTTAGCACGATCCCCTTAGTGATGAGTGCGCTCTTGCTCAGTAAATTCACACAAGATCTTGTTGTTTAAAAGAGCCTGGGATCTCCCCCCTCTCTCTTTTCTTGCTCCTGCTATTACCATGTGATGTGCCTGTCCCTCGCTTTGCCTTCTGCCATAAGGAAAAGCTCCCTGAGGCCTCACCAGAAGCCAAGCAGATACCAGCACCATGTTTGTACAGCCTGAGACTGTGAGCAAGTAAACAGCTTTTCTTTATAAACTATCCAGTCTCAGGTATTTCTTTACAGCAAGGCAAGACCAGACAAATACATACTAATACATATCCTGACCTACTAACCTGGATTGGGAGAAAGGGGTCAGTGTTAGGTGTACTCGAGTTGTTACACAGGCAAGTTACACACACACACACACACACACACACACACACACACACACCCCAGCTACAACTTTTGCAACCAATAGATATTGTTCTTTCATTCTTGGATTTTAAAATTGCTTTTCAGAAGCAAATAAAGGGTTCAGTATATTTTCATGAGGGAAACCTGTATCAAGGACGGCTTTAGTACAATCTCCAGTTTATTAATCCACAGCTATATTTTCCCACTCAGGCTCCGTGGAAGGATATAATGGCACCAAGGTGGTAGGTAATCATTTGACCTCCTAATCTGTATAATTTAGTTATTTGTCAACCAAATCCAAAAAATCCTCCCCTACTGCCATCCAAACTAGTGTGTGGTAAGCCACTGGGCCAGCAAAATTCCCCACTTTGTTCTATTATGGTGGTTTATATTTCTCCTTGCTTCTGATGGCACCAGCATCTAGCATGAGAAGGTTCCTTTGCTGAGCCAAACTGGACCAGGGAAGGTAGGAATGGCAGGGGAGAGTCTCTGCCCAGGCCAATCACTCAGTTCCCTACAGAGAGGAATATTTATTGTTATGTTACATTATGCAATATGTTTAGCTCATCCACTAGGGGAAAATTAACAAAATGTAAAATTCCACACTCTAATGAGCAGTTTGTGTTATCTTACGTCTCAAGAGGATTTTATATTTGCTGACTCTACAAAATTAAAGTGCTTCTTTATTTTGTCCAACCTTCTCATTGCTCACATCCTATTAATGATCAGATTCTGTTATTCTGCCTTCTGAATATAGTCATATGTCACTTACCGATGGGGATCTGTTCTGAGAAAAGCATCTTTAGCAGATTTTGTCATTGTGCAAATATTATAAGATGTACTTACACAAACCTAGATGAGGTAGCCTACTACGCACCTAGGCTACACGGAATATCCTACTGCTAGTAGACTACTAACCTGTGCAGCATTGTTACTTTACTGAATACTGAAGGCAATTGTAACACAATAGTAAGTATTTTTGTATCCAAACATAAGTAACCAAAGGAAAGTCACCGTATGACTATGGCACTATATCTTCTTTTGAGAATTGTCTATTCATGCCTTTTAGCCCACTTTTTGATGGGAATTTTTTTTCTTGCTGATTTGATTGAGTTCCTTGTAGATTCTGAATATTAGTCCTTTGTTGGATGCATAGATTGAGAAGATTTTCTCCCACTCTGGATTGTCTGCTTACTCTGCTGATTATTTATTTTGTTGTGCAGGAGCTTTTTAGTTTAATTAAGTTCCATCTATTTATCTTTGTTTTGGTTGCATTTGCTTTTGGTTTCCTGATCATGAACTCTTTGCACAGGCCAATATCTAGAAGAGCTTTTCTGATGTTAAATTCTAGAATTTTTATGGTTTCAGGTCTTAGATTAAGGTCTTGGTCCATCTTGAGTTGATTTTTGTACAAGGTGAGAGATGAGGTTCCAGTTTCATTCTCCCACAGTGTCTTGCCAATTATCCCATTTGTTAAATAGGGCGTCCTTTCCCAACTTCATGTTTTTGGTCGCTTTGTTGAAGATAACTTGGCTGTAAGTATTTGGCTTTATTTCTGGGTTCTCTATTCTGTTCCATTGGTCTGCATGCTTGCTTTTATACCAGTACCATGCTATTTTGGTAAGATATACAAATGGCCAACAAACATATGAAAAAATGCTCAACATCACTAATTATCATGGAAATGCAAATCAAAAGGACAATGCGATACCAGCTTACTCCTGCAGGAATGGCCTTAATTAAAATATCAAAAAATAATAGGTGTTGGTGTGGATGTGGTGAAAAGGGAACACTTCTACACTGCTGGTGGTGATGTAAACTAGTACAACCACTATGGAAAAGAGTATGGAGTTTCCTTAAATAACTAAAAGTAGAACTAAACTACTATTGGATCCAGCAATCCCACTACTGGTATCTACCCAGAGGGAAAGAAGTCATTAGATGAAAAAGACACTTGCACATGCATGTTTATAGCAGCACAATTCACAATTGCAAAAACATGGAACCAGCCCCAAAGCTCATCAATCAATTATATATATATGTATTCACAATGGAATACTGCTCATTCATAAAAGTGAATGAAATAATGGCATTCACAGCGACCTGGATGGAACTGAAGACCACTATTGTAAGTGAAGTAACACAGAGATGTAAAACCTAATATTATATGCTCTCACATATGAGTGGAAGCTAAGTTATGAGGATGCAAAGTCAAAAGAATGACATAATGGACTCTAGGGACTTGGAGGGAAGGGTTGGGGGCTGAGGGTTAAAAGACTACACGTTGATGCAATGTACACTGGTTGGGCGATGGGTGCACCAAAATCTCAGAAATCACCACTAAAGAACTTTTCCATATGACTGAACACCACCCATTCCCCAAAAACCTATTGATATGGTTTGGCTGTGTCCCCACTCAAATCTCAACTTGAACTGTATCTCCCAGAATTCCCATGTGTTGTGGGAGGGACACAGGGGGAGGTAAACATGGGATTGGGCCTTTCCCATGCTATTCTTGTGATAGTGAATAAGTCTCAAGAGATCTGATGGGTTTATCAGGGGTTTCCACTTTTGCTTCTCCTCATCTTCTCTTGCCACTGCGATGTAAGAAGTGCCTTTCATCTCTTTCCACAGTTCTGAGGCCTCCCCAGCCATGTGGAACTGTACGTCCAGTTAAAACTCTTTTCCTTCTCAGTCTGCTGTGTCTTTATCAGCAGTGTCAAAATGGACTAATACAGTAAATTTATACCAGTAGAGTGGGGCATTGCTGAAAAGATACCCAAAAATGTGGAAGCAATTTTGTAACTGGGTAAGAGGCAGAGGTTGGAACAGTTTGGAGGGCTCAGATGACAGGAAAATGTGGGAAAGTTTGGAACCTCCTAGAAACTTGTTAAATGGCTTTAACAAAAATGCTGATAGTGATATGAACAATAAGGTCCAGGCTGAAGTGGCCTCAGATGGAGATGAGGAACTTGTTGGGAACTGGAGCAAAGGTGACTCTTGTTATGTTTTAGCAAAGAGACTGACAGCATTTTGACCCTGCCCTAGATATTTGTGGAAGTTTGACCTTGAGAAAGATGATTTAGGGTATGTGGCAGAAGAAATTTCTAAGCAGCAAAGCACTCAAAAGATGACTTGGGTGCTGTTAAAAGCATTCCATTTTAAAAAAGGAAACAAAGCATAAAAGTTCAGAAAATGTGCACCCTGATGATGCAGTAGAAAAGCTCACATCTGTAATCCCAGCACTATGGGGGCTGAGGCAGGTGGATCGTGAGGTCAGGAGATTGAGACCATCCTGGCCAACATGGTGAAACCCCGTCTCTACTAAAAATACAAAAATTAGCTGGGCATGGTGGTGCGTGCTTGTAATCCCAGCTACTTGGGAGGCTGAGGCAGGAGAATCGCTTGAACCCAGGAGGAGGAAGTTGCAGTGAGCCGAGATTGCACCACTGCACTCCAGCCTGGCAACAGAGTGAGACTCTCTCAAAAAAAAATGAAAAAAAAAAAAAAACATTTTTTGAGGAGAAATTCAAGCTGGCTGCAGAAACTTGCAAAAGTAGCAAGAAGCCTAGTATTAATCTCCAAGACCATGGGGAAAATATCTCCAGGGCATGTCAGAGACCTTCACAGAAGTCTCTCCCATCACAGGCCTGGAGGCCCAGGAGGAAAAAGTGGTTTTGTGGATGGGGCCCAGGGTCCCCATGCTCTGTGCATCCTAGGGCCTTGGTGCTCTGTGTTGCAGCCACTCCAGCCACGGCTGAAACGGGCCAGTGTAGAGCCCTGGCTGTAGCCTCAGAGGGTGGAAGCCCAAAGCCTTGGCAGCTTCCAAGTGGTATTGAGCCTGTGGCTGCATAGAAGTCAAGAATTGATGTTTGGGAACCTCCACCTAGATTTCAGAAGATGTATGGAAATGCCTGGATGCCCAGGCAAAAGTTTGCTGCAGGGGTGGGGCTGTCATGGAGAACCTCTGCTATGGCAGTATGGAAGGGAAATGTGGAATCAGAGCCCCCACACAGAGTCCCTACTGGGGCACTGCCTAGTGGAGCTGTGAAAAGAAGGCCACCATCCTCCAGATGCCAAAATGGTAGCTCCACTGACAGCTTGCACCATGCCCCTGGAAAAGCCACAGACACTCAATACCAGCCCATGGAAACAGCTGGGAGGGAGGGTGTACCCTGCAAAGCCACAGGGGCAGAGGTGCCCAAGACCATGGGAACCCACCTCTCGCATCATTGTGTCCTGGATGTGAGACCTGGAGTCAAAGGAGATCATTTTGGAGCTTTAAAATTTGACTTCCCTGCTGAATTTTGGACTTGCATGGGCCCTGTAACCCCTTTGTTCTGGCCAATTTCTCCCATTTGAAACAGTTGTATTTACCCAATACCTGTACCCCCATTGTATCTAGGAAGTAACTAGCTTGTTTTTGATTTTATAGGCTCATAGGTGGAAGGCACTTGCCTTGTCTCAGATGAGACTTTGGACTGTGGACTTTTGGGTTAATGCTGAAATGAGTTAAGACTTTTGGGGACTGTTGGGAAGGCATGATTGGTTTTGAAATGTGAGAACATGAGATTTGGAGAGGCCAGAGATAGAATGATATTGTTTGGCTGTGTCCCCACCCAAATCTCAACCTGAATTGTCTCTCCCAGAATTCCCATGTGGTGTGGGAGGGACCCAGGGGTAATTATATCATGGCTGCAGGTCTTTCCCATGCTATTCTAGTGATAGTGAATAAGTCTCAGAAGATCTGATGGATTTATCAGGGATTTCTGCTTCTGCTTCTCCTCATTTTCTCTTGTCACTGCCATGTACGAAGTGCCTTTCACCTCCCACCATGATTCTGAGGCCTCCCCAGCCATGTGGAATTGTAAGTCCAATTAAACTTCTTCTTCTTCCCAGTCTGGGGTATGTCTTTATCAGCAACATGAAAATGAACTAATATACCCATTTAAATAATAATAATAATTTTTAAAATATGGCATTATAATCCTTTGAATCCACCGTTGTATTTGCCATCCATCCTTGACCAAAATATTATGTGGCACATAAATGTATTTATTCAGTCTCTTTATTGCTCATGTCCTCATTGCTACTGCTTAGTTCAGCCATTTGTTTTCTAGATTTCTGCATTGCACTGGACATCATACAAATCTCCAGAGATTAAAACAACTAGATAAAGCAATTGTTCTCAGCACTAAAGAAAAACACAACAGAATTTGTATTTTAGAGTTTCCACCTGGCCTAAGACCCTCTTCCCTTAAGACTGATTTCTCAGGCCTGGAGGGGTGACTATGTAGCTCTGTTTCTAGTGTATGTAACCCTGCTACTCTGGGCAAGGAAGAAGGGCTCAGGCTGGACTCCTAAACCTCATTTGGAAACAAACTCTTGGTCTCAGGAATTCAGGTTTGGAACAAAGTGATTTTATTTAATATCTGTCAGAATATGGGCCAGGACAACTATTTTTCATCATGCATAAACACAGCAAATCAAATAAATTAGTGTGTAGAAATTATAAGCATAAGGCACAAGCAGCAAAGAAGAGCAAGCCTATGGGCCTGGGGTGGAGATGCCTGGGTGGATGGGGTCCCAGCCCTGGTCTCAGTCCATTTTCTTCTTGTTTATGCAAGTTTGAGAGTGTGTCTCTTTTTTGATACTTCAAACTTATAGGCCCTTAACCAAGGAAATAGCAATCTTTTGGAGAAGAAAATACCAATGTTGAAGTGAAATCAAATATATAAACTAATAAATTATAGTTTATGTGATAACTGCCACAAGAGAAATACATCTAAGGTATGAAAAAGATGATCTTACACATAAAAGCATGGCATATGAGGTCTGGGCATGGTGGCTCACGCCTGTAATCCCAGCACTTTGGGAGGCCGAGGCGAGCGGATCACAAGGTCAAGAGATCAAGACCATCCTGGCCAACACGGTGAAACCCCGTTTCCACTAAAAATACAAAAATTAGCTGAGCGTGGTGGCAGGTGCCTGTAATCCTAGTTGCTTGTGAGGCTGAGGCAGGAGAATCACTGAACCCGGGAGGCAGAGGTTGCAGTGAGCTGAGATCGCACCATTGCACTCCAGCCTGACAACAGAGCGAGACTCCATCTCAGAAAAAAAAAAAAAAAAAGTATGGCATATGAAAAGATAACTTAAATACAAAAATAGCATTGCATCAGTTAACATGTAACAATTAGTGTAAGAATAGTGGTTTCAGCTGAAGAGAGAATTACATTTAAATGCATTGCATTGCGAAGCTCTGGAAATGTTATCTCAGGGGTTCCTTGTGTGGATGAGACATCACATAAAAGTTGGTGTTTTGTGGTTGAATTGCCTGAATACCACGAAATTCTAAGCCTAGTGAAACTGTACAGAAGGTAAGTTTACCTATTAACACGGCACACAGTTTGAAAATATTTTCCTTCCTCCCTTCATGTTTGATCCTTTGATTTCCTCATATAAAGGTTCTTAGAAGCTCTACCCTCCTTTGAGTCCCAGTGTAAGCCTGTATCCTAATTTTATCACTCTTTTCTTTATCTATTCATTTTTTCCCCTGTATCCATACCACAATGTAATCAGTTTAAAGCTTGAAATGTTTTGCCTATTTTTATCTCCCTAAGAAATAATATCTATTTTGGCACGCAACAAGTGCTCAAGAAATGTTTGTTGGATGAATGTATGCATATTGAATAAATACTATGCAGCAGGGATTAGCAAAATATGGCTCACGGGCCAAATTCAACCTACCATTTATAAATAAAGTCTTATTGTTACATAGCTATGGCCTTTGATTTGTATATTGTCTATGTGTCCTTTAGTGCTAAAATAACTACTGAGTAACTGCAAGAGAAACCATTCGGACTTTCAAGCCCCAAATATTTCCTATCAGTTCCTTTAGAGAAAGAGTGTGCTGAACTCTGTACCAAGTTATTGTCTTAATGTACAAATTTCAAATATGTTTTGTGATTGAAAGATTTCCTAGGTTTATATGCAGTGTGTATGCTAAGTTCATAATAGTCTTATCAGGTCAACAGCTTCATAAATTGTGTAAACTAAACTTATTTATTAGAGTGAAATATTAATAGGTAACAAAGACAAAATTTGATTAATGAAATAATAAAAACAAAACCCAATAGGGAATCTTACTATTATTTTATAAATGTATTCTTGATAGAATCTTTAATGAATATAATAATAATAATTAATATATTTATATTACTGGTTGACATAGTATCTCACATATACTTCGCTAAAAAATTTGATGGATGTCAATTTTCAGCTTAATAAATAATATTCAAATTTTAAACACATGACTATTAAGTTATCAACATAGTTTAATGTAAATCAGTGTCCTTTATCTCTAGATCTTTACCACTCTTTACCAGAAAAATTTAAAATGCCTGGGAAACTCCCTCTCATATTTGTCTGCTCAAAAACTGTTCATATGTTATGGTAAGAATGCAGGGCTACTATTTTTAGCTAGCACTCAATATGTTAGTATGGGGACTGCTGTCTCTTGGGGTCTTATTAGTAAAGGCAAGAACACCTGTAAAGAAGTTCAAACTGAAAAAATAAAAAAAATTAAACTGTCACTCTTTGGATGTATGGACTTCATAGAAGATAAAAGCAATGCAAATGTAAATTATCATTACAATATTCAGTAGAAGCATTCTGGAACCTGAAATATTTCTGGTTCCTTTTTGAATATGTGCATATTTTTAAAAATTATTATCTTTGCATCATTCTTAAATAGTCTAAGGCAAAGGATTTCAAGCTATTCCCTCTGGAGCCAGAGGATGCCTCTGGACAGCCTTGGGGTCTAATATATTACAAATGAGAAGCTGTATGACAAGGTCTCCAGCCACTTCTCAGGATTCAGCCACTGTTCTGCATTTGGGTCCAGGTATTAAGATTCTGTAATGAGGTTTTGTTTGGAAAAATAGTTTACATGCTCAAAAATATTGTTATTTAATATTACAGGATTTGTTAATTGTTCATCCCTAAGTGCTGTGTGAAATTTATGTTTGTGGGCCGGGCGCGGTGGCTCACGCCTGTAATCCCAGCACTTTTGGAGGCCGAGGCGGGCGGATCTAGAGGTCAGAAGATCGAGATCTTCCTGGCTAACACGGTGAAACCCCGTCTCTACTAAAAATACAAAAAATTAGCCGGGCGTGGTAGCGGGCGCCTGTGGTCCCAGCTTCTCGGGAGGCTGAGGCAGGAGAATGGCGTGAACCCGGGAGGCGGAGCTTGCAGTGAGCCGAGATCGCGCCACTGCACTCCAGCCTGGGCGACAGAGCGAGACTCCGTCTCAAAAAAAAAAAAAAAAAGAAAAGAAAAGAAATTTATGTTTGTGATAAGCCAGGTGGCTATATAGCCAACAATTCAGGCAAATGCCAACCTGATCCCTTGTTCCCACAAATCCTTTGCCTTGTTCCTACAAGTGATCATATTTATCACATATTTATATATGTGTGTGTGTATATATACATATATATATGTATTCTTGATTTGACGTCTTTCAAGTTATTATCTAAATGTAAATATTCAAATTATGTCTTTTGTTTGTTTGTTTGTTTGTTTGAGACAGAGTCTCCCTCTGTCTTCCAGGCTGGAGTGCAATGGCGCCATCTTGGCTCACTGAAACCTCCACTTCCCGGGTTCAAGCAATTCTACCACCTCAGCCTCCAGAGTAGCTGGGACTACAGGCATACGCCACCACGCCAACGAATTTTTGTATTTTTAGTAGAGATAGGGTTTCACCATGTTGGCCAGGCTGGTCTCTATCTCTTGACCAGGTGATCTGCCTGCCTCGGCCTCCCAAAGTGTTGGGAGTACAGGCGTGAGCCACCGCGCCAGGCCCCTAGTTGAAAGTAGATCCCAGTTCATATGCACTCTATAAACTAGGTTGATAGACTGAGCTAATGCTATTGCCTCCCACCCCAATTTAGTACACTAAATGAGACACACTCACACACACACGTGGGTGCACACACACTCCTAAACAAGCTAGGGAGAAAGACGGAAGAAGCCTCAGGAACCAGAAATTTTGAGTTATCTCTGGATAATTTAGATCAAAAGAGATGTACTCAAGAAATAAAATTATACTCTGGTTTTCTACAGAAAGTACTGCTGGATGTATATGTGCCAGAAGTGAAGAGCCAGGGAGAGTAAAGGCAGGAGGCAGGCAGACATCCAGCAAAGCACAAGTGACCAGCTGAGGTGCAACAAAAGGAACAAACAAATGGTCACGCTCTCCATGCATTCTCCACCCTACCCTTTGGGCCAAGCTATACTCGGTCTTTCTATCTCCAGGCAGTACCAGGAGCAGCGAGGGCTTGAGCTTGAGTCAAAGAGACAGGTAATGCCTGCTAACACCCAGGAGAAAAGGATCAGAGGTCTAGCAACCCAAATACCCAGCAAGCAGTTAAAGTGAATGCTTTTGGATATTTTCTCATTCTCACTAAAAACAGGATGAAATATAAGCATCAGAAATAACAAAATAATTTACTTTCTAGGAAGAATTACCCCATAATCAGGAATTACCAAACACTGTTAAGATGCTATGTCTTAAAGGACATTTCAGTAAACAGAGAGAAAGCACTACATCCTGGGAAACAACAGAGCAAACAGGGTAGGACTTCAGAATACATATTAGGTCCATGAAAAAGAGTTACCAAGATTTTATGCAAATTAAACTTTGACATTTCATCTCAGTACATGTGGACAAAATGTGTCCAGGGCACAGAATGAAAAATAAGTTAGCATTAAGAAGGCAGAGTGGAGAACTTGTACTGAACACAAAACAAGGGAATATAAATATAAATAGCAAAAATGAAACTTTAAAATTTGGAGGTTAGATCCCAAAATGTTAAAAGATTTATATTAGGTATTATGTATTCCAGAAGTTGTGAGTAAATACACTCAAGTAAACTAAAAAAAAAACATAAATCCTTACATTTATTATCTACCTAGCACTTATCAAGTTTTTTTAATCTATGTACCTAAATACATTGTAATTGTATTTCAAGACATTAAGGATAAAGAGCTAATTCTCAGAGTGTCTATGAACAAAAGAAAAGATTCAAGAAAATGATGGAAAAATATCATTAAATGCTGATGCAAAATGCATATACGTCAGTTATATACTAAGTAAAATTTTGATTACAAACATGAGTATCAACTAAAGGCATTTTGACCTCAAATTAAACTTCATAATTCACTTAGAAATTAACTCAAAAGACAACACTTACTTAAAAATAAAGCAACAATTTCTAAAGCTTTTAAAAAAAGTGAACAATTTTTGGAATTAGGGCTAGGTAAAGAGTTCTTAGACTTGACACAAAAAGCAAGTTGCATAAAATGAAAAGTTGATCAATTGTACTTCATGAAAACTAAATTATTTTGATCTTTGAAGGCATATGTGAAGAGGAAAAAGAGATAATTTCCAGACTTAGAGAAAATATTTGCAAGCCACATATCCAACAAATGACTTGCCTCTAGAATATATTGAAAAAAAATCCTCTCAAAACTCAGCATTAAAAATTACACAATGCAATGAGAAAATGGGCAAATAAACATGATAAGACATTTATTTAAAGAGGGTATTCAGATAGCAAATAAGCACATGAAAAACTGTCCAACATTAATCATTGCAGAAATGCAAATTTAAAACACAATGCTTTATTATTGCACATCCGTCAGAATGACAAAAAGAAAAAGTAGTGACAATACCAAATTCTGGTGAGGATCTAGAAAAACTGGATCATATATTGCTAATGGGAATTTAAAGTGGTACAGTCACTCTGGAAAACAATCTGGAAGTTTCTTATAAAACTAAACATAGAAGTGCCATATAACCCAGGAACTGAACTCTTGAACTTGTACCCCAGATAAATGAAAACCAAATTCTAAATAAGCTCAGGTAGAATTTATTTAGATAAGTTGCATAATAAATATTTTATAATTTAATACATTTCAGTTTTAAACACTTATATGACATTTTTCAATATTCTGTTATTTCTAATTGTCATTTTATTCATTTTGTTTTACCAGCTAAGAGTCTATAGTCCACAAATAATGATTGAAATCTCCCTTTCTCACCTTTCTATATTTTATTACAATTCAAATAGAACTTTTACCGTAATTTCGCACAACAGTGATTCAAGCTAGATATGCAATATGACAGAATTATGACAAATTTGAAAAAAAAGTGATGGGATTGTATATCACAGAGTATCAATGGAAATTAATATATTTGAAAACATGAAGACATTATTATTAAAAAGAATAGATGGGCCTTTGATCAACCACACTAAGAAGGAAATGGAGGAGGTATGATAGAAAACAGAGTTTAGAATGACACCTATGTCATCAGCGTATGTCATTGATTAATTATCCATGCCATTTACAAGGTCAGGAATAGAGGAGGAGGTGTAGGTTAGAGAGAAGGCAGCTGTGCTTCTGCTACATGCAAAATCGGTCCATTGCTTGGTGCTCTGTGAGCACTCTGTAATTAGAAAAAATAAATAAATTCTACCTGAGCTTATTTAGAATTTGTCCCCGCTCCTGTTCATGTGTGCACGCACACACAGGCTCACACATTCACGTTCACACCTCACTTCACAAAATAAAAAGAAAATGTATACGACATGGTGAAAAAAAATACGTAAAAGCATAATAGCAATTTTGAGTGTGCCCGTGTAAAGATTAAATTTATTTCTCTCTCCAAGAGAATAAGCATTTTCTATTCTGGGGGAGGCTGAGACAATCAGAAGATGAAAATTGCAGTGTTAATTTTAAAGGTTATTTCCCCTCATCTCACAGCATCCAAAATCATTAAATTCTGTGTTAAATTAATTTGCATAAAATGGCTTTCAATAAAATACAATCGGTATAAACATTTTATCTGCCAAATCCAACGATTGAAAGGGACTTCCAAAATATATATGTCATATCCAACAGTAGTTCACAAAAATGGCCATTCTCCTCTCATAGGGAGAAATCTGTCCCATAAAAATAGACTAATTGTGTTTACTTTCCCGAAAAGTTATTTAAAGTTACTTTGAAGGAAAAAAAAAATGCTTCCTAATTAGCATTTCAATGCTTTCAGTTTGAAATGAAGCAGTTCACAGCAACTTTCGTATTGAAAGCTTTAGGAATTCCTAATTTATATACAGACAGCTGAGACAGGTTTGTCACACCATAGCAATCTCAGTGGAGTTCATGAGTTACAGCGCTGTCACTTCTGCTTTACTGGATTTTCAAAGTGCTACACCAGGTTACAGGAAAACTGTCATGTGCAGGAGATATACTATTTGAACCAGAAGAAAGAAAGAAGAAAATAATCCATTCTGCTCTCATTCCAAAATTCTCTTTTTTCTCTGGTCATTTTTATGTCTAGCACTTAGTACCTGAAACCGATGGACGATCAATAAATGAAAATTGAATTGAATATGATCGGGTTGAGTCAACTTATCTGGAGACACAGAAAACCTATTGTTCCCCTTGACCCCGGAGCTTGTAGAACTTTTGCTGCACACAGTTTTATGTGCTAAGGGAAGTTACATTCAGTGACAAATTTTAGAAGGCAGCATGGTTGTAGAGTAAGAGTGACATAGTTTTGAATCCCAGCTCCACCACTCTTAGGACCTTTGGCAAATAATTCAGACTCTCTGAGCCTCACTGTTCTCACAAGTGTGAGAAAGAGGAAAGTTAATTTTCCATGGCCTAGACTCTTTGCTTAGGAAAACTCTTCTTGCTAAATATTTGGAGAAATTAGGGTACTCATCGAAATTGGCTTCAAATTGTTAAAACATTACAACTATGGTGAAGGCTACAAAATCTGTCATTTTTAAAATGCAAATTTTGCTTTTGAATATCACATTACACAGATTATCACTGTCACTGTATTAATTTTTAAACAATTGCTCCCGAGTTCAGAAAACAAGACCTGGAAAACTACAGGAAGAATGTGTATTTATCTTGACCTAGTAATGAATACAAATTCATGAAAAGGAATTGAACCAGGCTAGAAAACAATCATACATATTCTAAGTAAGCTTAAACTTTGGAAAATGTACCAATAGTAGTTTATGGTGTTAAGGGACAGGCTGACAGGGTGCCAATGTCAGAGCATGTGAGAGGTAGAATGGAAAAGAGGACACTGGGGAATTCAGCATTAGAGTGGATGAGCCAGGACTCTACTCCTATCTGGTGCTTTGTGATGGAATAAGGGTCTTCCCCCAAATGCACATATATCCAGGAGGAATGGTCATGAAGCTGCCTCCACCTGGAGGGAGGATAACTAAATCATCTCAGAAGAGATAGGTTATAGCTGAACCCCAAGGGCTCCAAGATCAAATCTTTATCTTGTTCAAAATTTATCTGGGCTCTAATGTTATGCTGTTTTGTTTTCTTCAGGTCTTCAGGAAAATATCCTTAATATATAGCCAGATATAAGCTCTGCTGTGGTTAGTACTTATCCTTGGGTGAAAGATGGAAAAGAGAGTAGACCACTTCTTGCCTCCTTTGCTGTCTCTATCTCCTTTGCTCTCACCTCAACAGGTAGTAACAGAAGAAAAGCTGAAGGTCCCAGAATAGCTTCTTATCAAAACACCATAAGGGAGCTACTATGGAGAGATATGTACTTCATAAATGGTTCTAACCCACAGGAGCCAGGAAAAGACAGACTGACACTTTCTGCCATGGACTCATGAGGAAGGAGATGCGAAACTATCAGATACTAAAGACAAGGGACCTTAATAATAAGAACCCCCAATTATACTGTGTATTTATATGTCTCTCTAAAACTTCAACTTACATGCATTTCATAATTCATGTAATCAAATAATAATCAAAGTTATGCTTGCCAACACTTGCAGATTCTTTACTGTAATTCTGAGCAAATGATTTTTTGCCATTGTTTCTGTATTTCTTCAAATGCAGAATAAGAGTGCTCAGACAGTGTCCTCGTTTGTTTGTTTGTTTGTTTGTTTTTGAGACGGACTCAGGCTCTGTCACCCCGGGTGGAGTGCAGTGGCACAATGTCGCCTCACTGCAACTTCTGCTTCCTGGGTTCAAGCAATTCTTCTGCCTCAGCCTCCCGAGTAGCTGGGATTACAGGCATGCGCCACCATGCCTGGCTAATTTTTGTATTTTTAGTAGAGATGGGGTTTCACCATATTGGCCAGGCTGGTCTTGAACTCCTGACCTCGTGATCCGTCCAAAGTGCTTGGACTGCAGACGGGAGCCACTGCGCCTTCCCTGGCAGTGTCCGTGTTTCTTAGTATCCGATTCTGGAATCATTAGGAAAATTCTGCTAAATGTAACACAGACACTGTTTATCAAAACTGTTCTTCAGTTATTTCCTCCCAAAGAACCCTTCAAGTATTCTGTATAAAACTAATTTGCCTTTTAATTTAAGAATTAGAAAAAAAAGGGTAATGTGTTTTCCCCACACCTGCAATGTGACTCATGTAGCGCTCAAACAACCCTTCTGGAATGTCATGTTAATATATCAAATTTTTAGAATTCTTATTTTTTCCACGTGTACATACCTCATACATAGTAAGGCAGATTTTGAACCAAGATTTGATGGACTCCTTTTGATCATGTATGTATGCAAAAAGAGATCAATTTATTAGGTGACTCAAATATTCAAGGAAATTATAGAAATAGTCCTAATTATTATTTTTTCCATTCTCTAACTCACATGAAAATGTACATTATTCTCCAGTTGGATAACCTTCCTCAGTATAAGCAGGACTGAAGTTGATGTGATTGTCGCTACTTCTGGACCATGAACTGGCACCTGTTGATCTCATTTTCTAAAATTTTTACCATCAGTTTGAAACCCCAAGAAAGATAATTACATAATATATTATTTGAGGAACACAAATTCAACCAAAATAAGATATCATCGCACACTTATTAGAATGATTAAAATTTAAAAATTGAACAATCCCAAGTGTTGGCTAGGATAAGGAACAAATTATGAAAACCTCATCATGCGATTGTGGGAATGGAATATACCACCCCTTCAGGGGGAAAAAAAAGTATTAGGAGGGGTGCAGTGACTCACCCCTATAATCTCAGCACTTTCGGAAGCCGAGGCAGGAGGATCACTTGAGCCCAGGAGTTCCAACTCAGCCTGGGCAACATAGTGAGGCCCTGTCTCTACAAAGAATTAAAAAATTAGCTGGGCTTGGTGGTGTGTACTTGTGGTTCCAGCTACTTGGGGGGCTGAATGGGAGGATCACTTGAGCCCGGGAAGTTGAAGCTGCAGTGAGCCATGATTGCGCCACTGCATTCCAACCCAGGTAACAAAGCAAGGCTCTGTCTCAAAGAAAATAAAAACGTTTTAAAAAATCATTTTAAATTTATATACACTTACCCTATATCCCAGTGATTCTACTTTGAGGTACTCAAGAGATATATGTCTGCACAAAGATGTGTTCACAATTGTTCATAGAAGTTTTATTTATAATAAAAAAAATTGTAAACAACTTGAATTTCCATCAGCAGATGAATGTATAAATTATGAGGTAGGAATATTATTCATCAATAAAAATTAATTATATGTAACAACAATATAAATCTTGAAAAAATTATGCTGAGTGAAAGATTCCAGATATAAAAAATAACCTACCATAGATATGGAAATTTGATTTCAAATTCCATATTTGAATTGAAATTGAATTTGAAATTCCAAATCTGAATTTGGAATTCCATACCATTGATATGGAATTCTAGAGGAGAAAAATGTTACGATGACACAAAGCAAATTTTTAATCTCCTGGAACTTGGAAGACAGAGTACTTCAAAGGGCCAGAAAAATTTTTCTGAAGCAATGAAAATATTCGACATCTTTTGTGTGACGGTGGTTACAGGGGTGTATACATTTGTAATGAATCATTAAAAAGTACATTGACAAAAATATGTGCATTTTATTGTATGTGAATTTTACCTAGAAAGTGCATACAATTGTCTGATTTTCAAAGAAATATCTGAACTTTTTGCAGAAAATTTTTGTACCATGTCTCAACCATCATCTCTAACAAAGAATTAATAATAAAAAACCCCAGGAATGTTACTTTAACGTGAAGGACTCATTTGTAATGGTGAGAACAATAACAACAACATTATAGTTAGGCACAACTAATTTGGAAAATTTGAAAACTTCTGTGAAAATGTCATCTATAGTTTGTAGATGATTTGGTCTCTCATATGTGTTGGAACTTGACATCAAGCATCAACCCCAGGTTTGTGTGTTTGCTGTCCCTTAATTTGGCACCATGGCTGCATATAGCTAGTGATACAAAAAATAGTGATATGACAGTCAATCACTTAAAATGTAAACTCTTCCTCTACAGAGGAAATAAAACCTCATATTTAGAAATTCTTAAGTAGGTACACCTGAGTTTCTATTTCTATTGTTTATATATTTTCCAGGTGTTATATATCATTTAATATATTTAAAAATCACGTACCTCTTAATCCTTAAGTCTGAGACTGGCCATTGCTTCCCAGAAGTTATGGAACTAGAGCTTCACGCTTAATAGGGAACAAATTCATAAAATACACATTATGGGTATACATCTTTAAATGGCTGCCCATTTCCAAATGTATTAGCTTAACATTTCAAAATTTAATTTTTAATGTGTAATCATTTAAACCCGCCTTCATAATAACTTTATCATTCGTGTTTGCTCCCAGGCCTGAGTTTCAACCAAAAAAGCCCACTGTTGGTTCAATCTAACTATGTTTATTCTTCTACATCTTGGCTTTCATTCAAACTGCTATGCAGCTCAATGAAGAAGTGTTAAAGAAATATGGAAGAATAATTGGACTTGATAGGAAACTACTCTGATGAGACATCACAAATGTCTAATTTGCATTTCTATTATTTTCCAATTGTTTTTATCAGAAACATTTGCAAGAATATAGGAAAATTGGCTCAGAAAAATCATTTGTTCTTGCTGTTGCTTCACTAAGTGCTTTCATGCATCATGATATATTTGGTAGCTTGGGGGAGGATTTATTGTGTCGCCAATGGGATATTACCACTTCTGAAGAGTTAAAAGACAAAAAGCAGAAATGAATGCAAATGTCTAGCACACAGTTACATGCAAGCACGTGCACACTCACCACACACACACACACACACACACACACAGTAATCTAGAAGAGAGAGAAAAAAGAGTGGAAATTCAAATTTTTGGTAAAATTCTTTTTTCTCATTTAGCAAAATGTTTGTTTAAAGCCACTAGTATTAGTACAATAGCAGCATAGTTTGATAATGTATTGTGTTCTTAAGTACACATGAAGATATTTAAGTATTTCCTGATTGACTATGATGTGCTCAGTCTTCTTTATAAACCACTGAAGACATGAAAATGCATTATTAAGAAGAGACATCTTTGTAGGGGAAGATAAACTTTTTTTAAGTTTAGATACTTTCTTAATTGATGATATTTTGGAAATGGAAGACATGATTTAAGCCAATACCTAAAAACAGCCAAACCTTTTTAGTATAGAATTCATAGAGTTCCATAAGTTGTCTAGATTGCAATTTTCAAAGAGCATGAATTTAACCAGAAGCTTAAACCTATGATTGTTATCTATCATATTGTTATGGGTAAGGAGAAAAATTTCTAGTTCAACAGCTTAAAATTAGTAATTTATATATCCATTCAATGAGCTTTAATTGGATGTAAGTTTATTAAACATAAAATATTTATATACCACTGTTGTTAATATCTGTAGTACTCACTCTTGGAATATTATGACAAAGATTACCTTATAGACTGAAAGACGACAGATACTACTGCTGTCTTGTTCATTGCTTTATTTCCATTCACTAGTGTATGGCCCCGGTACAGTAAATAATCAATCAACATTTTGTGTGTGAAAAGAAATGAATTCAAAGTAAGCTTCATAGTTATATATATTCACAATCTTAACTCATGATTCCTCCATAAAGAGTTTTATTTTAAATTTTGTATATTTTATGGTAATTATTTTGTATTCCAGAAGAATATTTCAGTCCAGTAAGTTTTATGTCAACACAATTAATCCTTGTATTTGACAAATGAGATTTTCCCCCATAAACAAATTACACACTGGGAAAAAGAAAAACAGAAAAAGAAATGTTTAAAACAAATATACGCTGTTTAAAGAATTCTAATAAGATGACTATCTGTATCTCCACCATCTGCCTGAAACTCCATGTATGGCTCACCATTTGCCTCTATTTTCCCACTGTCTCTCTTCAGGGAACCTGTTTCCTACATTTTTTGTTAATTATTCTCTTGAGTCTCTCTTTGACAATGTCACCTATATTGTATCCATAAATGATATATTGTTACATTTTGCTTGCTTTTCTTCTTTAATGGAATGAAATCATATCAGACTTTGAAATAAGATTTATCCATATTAATGTATATTATTGTAGTTTATTCATTATCATTGCTATATAAAATATCCTTGTGTAACTTTAATGAGTTTTATCCATTCTACTTTGATGAACCTATGCTTTCTGCCCAGGATTTTTTCTATTCTAAATTATATAGTGATTTTTCTAATGAGGTGAAAAACACTGGTGAAAGAATTTTTCAAATCTATATTCTGAGGAGTGGGATTGCCAACTCACTTCGTGTATCAATGTTCAAAGTTATAGGAATCTGCATGACTGTTTTCTGAAGTGATATAATTAATTTATATTACCCCAATAGATACGCTTGTTCCTGCTTCACATCATTGTAAATTCATGGTATCTAAGACTTCTACATTTTTTAAAATGTTGTATGTAAAGTGGAAATTCACTGGGGTTTTCATTTGCATTCCCAATAATTTGTTTGGCTTTTAACTCCTATCGAAGTTTGTGCTCTAGATACTACACATTTTGGAGCTTTATATTATATAAATATCCCTGTCAGTATTTTGTCCTATCATGTTTCTTATGTCTTTTTGATGAGTAGAAATTCTTAATCTTTATGTAATAAAATCTACTGAGCTCTCATTTCAGAGTTTTAATTTTATATTTTATAATTTTGTGGTTGTGCTTTTCACATGGAAGCCTTAAAGCAACATGGAATTGACTGTTGTATGTAATGTGAAGTAGGAATTCAATATGATTTCTTTCAAACTATGTTGTTGGTGGCAGCAGCCCATCTGGAGCAGCTGCTGTAGGGTCACCAGCTGCAGGGGGCATGGCACGGCCAGGGCTACTCACTCTGTGGAGATGGTGTGGACCAGGAACAGGCGGGAGCTCTGGCTCCTACTGAGTTGGCAAGGTAGGAGCCCACACTCCTGGGCGCAGGTGCAGCTTCCCAGCCGTGCCTCTGGACCTAGGCATCTCTGTGCTCTCGGGGACTCAGGAAGCCCCCTGCCCCTGCAGCCTTGAAAGTGCCTGCCCTCACTCCCTGGCCTCTCCCTGCTCCTGGTGCCCACTCTGGGGCAGACCAAAGTTGTGGTCAGGCCCAAACGCTGTCAAAACATGGCCAGGTGTGTGCACGCTCAGGGCACGCTGACACTCCAGCGCCCTTCCACCTCGGCCCCCTCTTGACTTTTGGTGTCCCCAGGAGCATGGTAGTGAGCCCAAGGTGGGGGGCGGAGGGCAGCTCAGCATGGACCTGCAGGAACCCCTTGGCATGAACAGCCGGAGCACCATGGATGACATGTTGATGGTGGCAGGAGGCAGACAGGCTCCTGGGTGGAAAGGGATGGGTCCTGAGTGAAACTCCACCTTGAATCCAGGGATGACCTGAAGCCTGGGGGCCGAGCTGACAGTTCTGGGTGAAGTCTGCAGCTCCGAGTGAGAACTTAATTGATGACCATTTGGCCAATCAGAGGGTGCTTTTTCCAGGCCCACCAGTGGCCATCCATGGACCAGTCAGCATACACTTTCTCCCTTCTGAGCCCAAAAAAACCCCGGGACTAAGGCAGACTCTGACAGGCATTGGGACAACCAGCTGCATGAAGCAACTACCCACTTCCAGTCTCCTCAGCTTACTGGGAAAACCTGCCTGAGGAAATGACCTACCCATTGCCAGTCTCCTGAGAGCTGTTCTGTCACTCAGTGAAGCTCCTCTCTGCCTTGCTCACCCTCCAGTTGTCCATGTACCTCATTCTTCCTAGACATGGGACAAGAACTTGAGACCTGCCAAATGGTGGGACTGAAACAGCTGTAACCCAGACTGAGCTGAAACACACTCCCCTGCTCCCCCCACCATGACCCAGCTCTCCATGTTGCAGGCAACAAGAAGGAGAGAAGAGCTGCAGCCTTTTGGGAAGCCCAGACCTGGGGGCTTCCCAAGCCAGGGCCATAACTCCCTCTTTAGGGCTCTGCAGTTTCTGACGACTCCAAGCTTCTGGTCGCTACTGCAGTCCCCAAATCCAGATGCCGGTGCCTGTAGCAGAAGCCACTTGCAGTACATCTTGTCCAGCCACAGCCTTGCACAGAGCTGGTGCCTGGCTGGCACCTAGAGCTGCCTGCCTCACTTCAGCAGGTGGCATGCCTGGCTGTGTGCAGTGGCCAGATCCCACTGTCATTCACTCACACACTCCTCACCACTCCATGCCTGGCTCACCCTTGGCTGGTGTGGGATCCAGGCCAGTACTGTGGGCTGAGCACAGCCTGGATGGAACCCAGTAGGCCTGAGCAAACTGAGGCAAAGGCACCACTGGCCACAGAGTTTTCTGGCTGGCAAAACGACACCTGAAAGATCCTGTGACAATGTGAACATTCAAACGTCTTCGCACCACTGAATAGTCCTTTTGTTTTATTCTGTTTTGTTTTGGTTTTTGGTTTGTTTTTTTTTTTGAGACACAGTCCTGCTCTGTTGCCAGGCTGGAACAGAGTCAAGGGGTTCACTGCAAACTCTGCCTCCCAGGTTCAAGCGATTCTCCTGCCTCAGCCTCCCAAGTAGCTAGGACTACAGTTGCATGCCACCACGCCCAGCTAATTTTTGTATTTTTAGTAGAAACGGGGTTTCATCATGTTGGCCAGGATGGTCTGGATCTCTTGGCCTCATGATCCACCTGCCTTGGTCTCTCAAAGTGCTGGGATTACAGGCGTGAGCCACCATGCCTGGCCTGTTTCTGGATTCTCTCCCCTGTTACATAAATAGATTATCTCTGTAAGTTTATAACAACAATATTACTGCAATAATATAAAAGGAAATGTTTAAAAAGAAAAGTTTCTGACCAATGTAGCAAAAATTCTACTTGCACATAGAAAAAAATCTAAAAGAAACTTAGTATATCTCTAATGAAGTTATTTATTTTTTCTTTGTAATACATCTACATACATATATATATATATATACACATAGACACACACATATATGTGCCTTTTAATGTGAACATATATGTTGCCATGCAATTTGCTTTTGTCATTTGAAATTATACCTTGACTTGTAGCCAGGAGTTTGAAGCCAGCCTGGCCAGCATGGTAAAACCCTGACTCTACTAAAAATACAAAAATTAGCCAGGTGTGGTGATGCACACCTGTGGTCCCTGCTACTTGGGAGGCTGAGGCATGAGAATCACTTGAACCCAGGAGGCAGAGGCTGCAGTGAGCCGAGATGGTATAACTACACTTGAGCCTGGGTGACAGAGCAAGACTCTGTCTCCAAAAAAAAAAAGAAAAGAAAATATACCCTGAAAAGCCCTCCATTTTACAACATATAATTTTTTTTGCATTTTTCTAAGCAGCTATACACAATATATATTTTCCATAATTTCTTCAACCATTCACTTGCTCATGGGCTTTCCACTATTTTAGCTTCAAGATCTCTTACAATTATGATATAATAAGCATCTTTGTGTGTACCTCTTTGTGCATAAATTAATGGTTATAGAGGATACGTTCCTAGAAACAGAATGGCCAAATCAAAAGGTATATACATTTTTAAAATTCTAATAGAGAATTCTATGTTGAATTCTAAAAATATTTTAACAATTCCCACACTCTCCCACGAACTATAACCTTCTGAATAACCTCCATTTTTCTCAGATTGGATATAATGAATCTTTTCATTTGGGGTCTATTTTTATATTTATTCCCAATATTCCCTATATATTGTAAATACGTATCAGTTTTCTATTACAGGTTGAGGATTCTTAATCAGAAAATCTGAAATCCAAAATGCTTTAAAATCTGAAACTGCACAAAATTATCTTTAAAATTGTATAAATTACCCTCAGGCAATGAAGTGTATAAATATAAATAAATTTTGTGTTTAGACTTGGTCCCATCCCAAGATATCTCATTATGTAGTACATACAAATATTTTAAAATCCAAAGCACTTCTGGTCCCAAGTACTTCAGATAAGGGATGCGCAACCTGTATGAAGTTTGCAAATGTGTTTCTCTAATCTGCCACTTTGTCTAATGTTTGTTTGTATTATTGTTGTCAATTCCACTATAGATACTAGGTATGTAGGTCAGCAAGACAAGACCACTTGAGGTCAACAGGGAAAGAGAGATGCCAAATCAATAATGACAATGTGGTGGGTTCAAGCAAAGAGTAACAGAATATTTTATCTTTTCTGAGCAGTCTTAGAAGTTCTCTCCAAAGAATTGAATATTACTTTTTATCACCTGATATCTGAATATCAGAAAGACAGTTAAAAATGGAGAAGAAAGGTCTTCCAGGAAGGGAAACAATATATCCAAATCTCTAGTTAAGACAGAATTTATGACATTTGGGAGAATCAGAGAATTTCAGAAAGGCCTCAGAAGCACTTCAAAGGAGAAGTGGTGAGAATTCTAACAGATCACCAGCTGTGAGATTATTGTGTGGTGAAGAGAATTAGAGGTAAAGATGGCCAGGTGGGAAAGGTCATATGTAGAATTTTGTATTTTCTTTTCAAAGAAAATATGAAACCCTCAGAATGCATAAGCGGATGCTATGATTATCAGATGTGATTTTGTTAGAGATCACCCTGGCAGCAGTGTGAAGAGAATAGATTGATAGAAAGCAAAATTGAACGCAAAGAGATCAGTTATGAAGTTATTGTAGTAGCATAGTCACTCATAGTAGGAATAGAAAGAAGCAGATACATTTTAGAGATAGGTTTGAGGTATAATTAACATGAATTTTTACGGAAAGTCTGACAGAGCTGGGGATTCATGAAACTCCTTTTTTTTAATAAAGAAAATCCACATAGTGTATTGAACTAGAGAATAATGATAGAGGTGTAGGTCTGAGGGAAAAGATGGTATTGAAGACAATGGTAGTATCAATTGCCTCCATTTAGTCCACGGAAGTTAAAGGCAGCAGAGGGCCCATCAGTTTCTTCCAAAAAGACATTTTTAGTAAAACTAATGAGAACAACTGGAGTATAGATTTTTGGTTCCAGGGGTGTTATCTTTCTCAGGTTTTAGCGTCAAATAACTCAAGATCTTCTGCATTAGTTCATTTTCACACTGCTGATAAAGACATATCCAAGACCGGGCAATTAACAAAAGAAACAGGTTTATTGGACTTGCAGTTCTACATGGCTGGGGAGGCCTCAAAACCATGATGGAAGGTGAAAGGCACATCTCACTGGGGCAGACAAGAGAAGAGAGCTTGTGCAGGGAAACCCCATTTTTAAAACCATCAGATCTCATGAGACTCATTCACTATCAAGACAGCAGCACGGGAAAGACCCGGCCCCATAATTCAATCACCTCCCACGGGGTTCCTCCCATGACATGAGGGAATTGTGGGAGTTATAATTCAAGATGATATTTGTTAATATAGATCTAATTTCCAGAAACGCCAAATTCTCTCAATCTGAAGGCTGGAGCCACAGTGATGGCTCGTTTGTTTTTAGTTCTTCCTGATTTTTTTAAGCTATTATCCTATTCCAATATTTGTGATTTGTTTGAAAAGGGTCAACAATGATGATATAGTTAGAAAAATGTGTGTTCCTCTTCATAAGGAAGAATATATACTTTCACCTATTGGTTATTAAGTTGTACAAAGTCAAAGACCCAACTTATCACAGGTTATTCAAGATAAAATGGCTTAAAGCCTCCAAACCATTCTCCTCTGTTTCAGTTATCAGAGGACACTTTTAATAATGGGTGTCCTGTAGAGCATGGAGCTTTGGTCACACAACTTCTGGGAGGGTGGGAAGCAATAACTAGCCTTGGGCCTAGGAATTATTAAGTGGTAGTCATATATTAATTTTAGATATATTAAATGCTATGTGACACCTGGAGAAAAATATGAACAACAGAATTAGAAACTGAGATTCACTGATTTAAAAACTTCAAAATTAGGGGTTGCAGTTTCTCCTTTCTAGGGAAAGAGTACAAGGTGTGAAGTGATTGATTGTAGTAATAATTATTTTATGTATCACTTGTTATCTTCACCCATGGTCTCCAAGTTCACAGAGAACAAACCAACAAGCTTGCAGTCGAAATGACATTTTGACTACTGATGGCAAGTTCTGGCATATATTACAGATCAAATCATGTATATATGTATATACTATACATTATATTTTTGTGCACAATTCCAAATTTCCCAAATTAGAGGTGCCTAAGAATTCCACCCTCCTTCCCCACAAATTACAGAGGGATCTTTCTTAAGGTTCAGTTGACATGCTGGGCATTTTCATTACTTTATGTCTTTGTCACAGATTATGACTGACAAATAGTATAAAAATGTAGGCAAGGCCAGGTGTGGTGGCTCACGCCTGTAATCCCAACACTTTAGGAGGCTGAGGCGGGTGGATCATGCAGTCAAGAGATCGAGACCATCCTGGCCAACATGGTGAAACCCCGTCTCTACCAAAAATACAAAAATTAGATGGGTGTGGTGGTGCACACCTGTATTCCCAGCTACTCGGGAGGCTGAGGCAAGAGAGTTGCTGGAACACGTGAGGCGGAAGTTGCAGTGAGCCAAGATCACACCACTGCACTCCAGCCTGGTGACAGAGCAAGACTCTGTCTCAAGAAAAAAAAAAACCTAGACAAAAATGCCAGCTATTTCTTTGAAACTCACATAATTACATAAATTACAATAATATTTCAGAAAAATAGCCTTTGTTTTAATAAAGTTAATTGGATACATCCACTAGTTTAAAGTATTACCTAAATTGCTGTTTTCTTAACCTAAGGACTGTTTACCATAGAAGGATATCTAGAAATGTATCTTATGCTCTGCAACTCCCAAATTCCTGAGATCTTAACTCCACCTAATGGGTTCCTCAGATATCTCCAAATATTCAGGGGAGTGGGAAGAAGCTGTAACATAGTCCATTATACATTAAATCACAAGAGCTAAATGCTTCATTGACCCAAATCAATGCAAAACTTTTTGTTGCTTTGAAAGTATTCTTTTATGTCAAAAAACTATTCTATGTATTCAAGCACTAGCCTTATACTCTCTGGGGAAAGATGGTCTCAGTAATATTATAAGAAATATTAATATATGCACAAATTTCTGTGTCTCATCTAAATATTAGATTAATGGTACAGAAACTTGCCTTTCCCTTCTTCTTGTGCTGTAGAATTCTTAACTTGCCTGTTTTTTCTTTCATTTTTGGAAATCTCTCATTATTATAGCTATGATTACACATTGTAGTGGACCACTCAAAATGGCAGGTGACCTTTTTCCCCCAAACCACTGTGTTCTTCTCTGTTTGCTTTTACTCAACTTTCTAGTAAAATCGATGCCGTCAACCACTCTCTCCTTTTGACTTCCTCGAAGCCACTGCCTCCTGATGTTTTTCATTCTCACTGGTTACTTCTCTACTTCCTTTGCTAGTTCCTCCATGCCTTTGTCTCTCACAGTATGAAGTGTCTCCTGGGAGCAATCCTGGCCTCTTTTCATCTTTCTCTCTGTGGTCAGTCTTTAAATGATATCGTGCAACCATATGAATTGAAATACTATGAACTTGCTAATAACTCCCACAATTTTATCTCTACTCTTTACCTGAGCTTTAGACTCGTGTATTCAATTACTTCCTCTCTATCTCCAATTGATTATGCTATAGATACCTGATATTTATAATGTCTGGTACTGTTTGGCTCTGTGTCCCCACCCAAATCTCATCTCAATTTGTAATCTCCACATGTCAAGGGAGGGACCTGTAATTTCCATGTGTGGAGGGAGGGAGATGACTGGATCTCGGGGATGGTTTTCCCCATGCTGTTCTCGTGATAGTGAGTGAGTTATCATATGATCTGATGGATTTATACGTATCTGACAGTTCCTCCTTCACACACTCACTCTCACCTGCCACTTTGTGAAGCAGGTGCCTGCTTCCCCTTCGCCTTCCACCATGATCGTAAGTTTCTTGAGGCTTCCCCAGCCATATGGAATTGTGAGCAAATTAAACCTCTTTCTTTTATAAATTACAGAGTTTCAAGGAAGTTCTTTATGGCAGTATAAAAAGAGACTAATACAATGTCCGAACAGAACATTTGATTTTCCTCCCTAAACCCACACCTTAATCCCCATTATCCCTGCAGTAGTATTGAACATCCACCAAATATCTCAAGCCAGAAATGGAGGTGTCCTTGAATTATTTTCCTTTCTTTTACTCTCCACAAAACAATTTCTTTCTGCAAAATCAATTTATTTCATCTTCAATATGTATACTCGATATTCTTTCTTGACTCTATTTCCATTGTGACATAGTTCATAGAGAAAGCTATTATTCCATGCCTAGATTAGCGCGGCGGGTTCCTCCTCATTCACCTCCTTGTTCTTATTTCAGGCCCCTTCAAACCATCCTCTACACAGCAGTGAAAATGAATCTCTTCTGAATCGAAGACTTGCCTCCATAAGAGGGAGCCACCAGGGAAGCAAACTTACTTATTTCTCTTCTTAAAATTGCAAGTATCCCTTTCACTCTATTGCTAAATTAATAGTAAATAAAAGAAAAACAATTCAACTGTATGTGTAACTTCATCTCACCAATCTTAAAACATAGACCCATTTTGAAATCCATTGACATTGATTTGCTTCCACAATTAGAATGCCAAATTCACAGTTCCAGGAAGCACTTTGTCTTTTCACTGTTTAATCCTCAGTGCCTAAACAGTTCTTGGTACACAATAGGTAATAAAGTATCTGTGAAAGATAGGACAGAAGGAGAAAGAGAGACAAAGATAGAAAAAGTGAGAGAAAAAAATGAGAGAAGTTAGTTGTTTGGTTTTGAAAGACAGGTATATGTGGCTGGGCACTGTGGCTCACGCCTGTAATCCCAGCACTTTGGGAGGCCAAGTCGGGTGGTTCACAAGGTCAAGAGATTGAGATCATCCTGGCCAACATGGTGAAACCCTGTCTCTACTAAAAATACAAAAATTAGTTGGGCATGGTGGCATGTGCCTGTAGTCCCAGCTACTCGGGAGGCTTAGGCAGAGGAATGGCTTGAACCCGGGAGGCAGAGGTTGCAGTGAGCCGAGATCACACCACTGCACTCTGACCTGGAGACAGAGTGAGACACTGTCTCAAAAAGAGAAAAAAAAAAAGGCACATACTTTGTCTCAGAAATACCATAGAGCAATCATTTAGAATAACCATTTATTTTAAATAAATGACTAATGATAAACATGTGGTATTGTTTAAGATGTTCCTCTCATCAGTTTTTATATATTAAAAAGAAATGAAATTTTACAAAGACTTAAGTTACTACTAAAAGCTTATGAATTAAACTATGTTAGTTTCATAGGCATGCAGTAAAATCATGCCAGCAAAGAATATTTAAATAAAAGAAAAAATGCTCCTATTGTAAGTTTAAGTGAAAAAAAGTCAAATTCAGACTATTGGAAATATTATATGCAATGTCAAATGTGTTTTGCACTACATTGGACAAGCTGTTGAAAATGGCGTAGAAAATTTATCCTTAAACAATTAACATATGGAATTATAGAAATAATAATGGTTAAAGTTTTTCCTTCTTCATATATGAGTTTTTAAAATGTTTATCACCATAATTTCTGCAAATATTATATTAATGTTTAATATTTTAATAAAATTTCTAAGTAGTACCAAAAGTAAAAAATCTTGCCTTAGGGATAGGACATCTATAAAATAATCTTGATGTTTATTAGAGTATGCTACACAACTTAGTGTATGCTACTATATCAGTGGTTATATTTCATATATTAACAAAGAGAATTTAAAAAGTAGAATTAAAATTAACACACACATATTCACTCTTTCAAATTCAATCCTTAATCTGTGAAATACAGGTAATAAATTAATTTGAGAAAAATAGATAATGCACCCAGAATCAGAGCCTCCATTAAAATACCTATATAGGAAGCCGAAAATGGTGGTTCAAGCCTATAATCCCAGCACTTTGGAAGGCTGAGGTGGGTGGATCACTTGAGGTCAGGAGTTCGAGACTAGCCTGGCCAACATGGTAAAACCCCATTTCCACCAAAAATACAAAAAGTAGCTGGGCATGGTGGTGGTGGCATGTGCCTATAGTCTCAGCTACTCGGGATGCTGAGGAAGGAGAACTGCTTGGACCTGGGAGGTGGAGGTTGTAGTGAACTGAGACTGCACCAATGCACTCCAGCATGGGCGACAGAGTGAGACTTCGTCTAAAACCATATATATATATATAAATTTTAAAATAAAATACCATCTAGGTTATTTCTTGACCATAGTCATATAATATGACCCTATATCAAACTTATTCTAATTCATAGTCATGAATGCAAAGGCCTGCTGAGAAATATGGATGAGTACACTGTAGGTTTGCCTGTTTAAAAGACTTGAAGCTGCAAGCCCATTTTACTTCCAGACTAATAAAATTAAATGATTGATACAATCCAATATTGGCAAATACGAAAAAATTACTTTTCTCGTGCACCATTGATGTGAATATGAATTCATATGGCATTTTCTGAAAACAATCTGAAAGTTCACATTAAAATTTTACTTAAAATACCTACAAAAACTCAAATGTGTGTTTAAAGGTATTTGCATGTGTGTGTTTTTATTGCAACAATAGTCCTGTTAAAAAACAAAAAGTACGTATGGTACAGAAATCATTAAATAAATAACAGTACATTTATATTTGATGTGGCAGCAACTGGCTAGATAATAATCAATTCTTCTTTCTTTTCCTCTTATTCACTCACCTACATTTTCCTGTTTCCCAGCAGGTAAGGGTTGTCTTGTAACTAAGTTATAGCCAATAGAATAGGGGCTGAAGTAATGATGTACATCATACTTGGCTCAAAATTGTCCTGTTTGATCTTCCCCCATGACCTGATCTGTCAGCTACATGGAAAAGATTAAGCAGAGATCTCCAAGTCTAAGAATAGCAAAGCCACAAAATGGAGAGAGTCTAGGTGTCTGAATCTATACCTGAAGAAGAGAGAATTCACAGGAGATCGGACTTTCTGTAACAAGAAATAAGCTTCTTTTTCCTTGAGCTACTGAAAATTTGGGGTTGCAGCAACTGGTGTTATTTTCCCACAAATACACTCAAGAAAAGTGAGGTGTCCTTTTGAAGAAGGAGGTAAATTTATATGTATTGACATTGAAATACGCTCACGCTATTCTATTGTAAAATGGAAATAGTATTAGAGTAATGTGTTAAATATGAACCCATTAAAAGCTATGTAGCTGTATATGCCAACACATTAATATTTATTTACAAACATTCGTGCATGCAGGCATAAACAAATTTACTCTAGGATCACAAAAGATATTTTCCATTAAGTAATGTTTAATTTTACCTTAAGTTGTCGGTGTCAAAGTAGAAGCGCATATGCATATGCTTGAAAAAAAAGTCTTGAATCATACTTCACATAGCTTTAGAAGACACGTTTTTATGTTCATTTCATTTTATTTAGACTATTTACAGAAAATATTCAAGGACAAAATTACAATTCAAATGTACCTGCATATATTCTAGGAAAAATAAATGATTGAGTGCCAAACAAATCTGAGGTTATGAATGATTAGTAACTAAAGCAAAAGAAGCTAATCTGTTCATAAAAGATTCAATGTATTTTAAAAAATTGGAAGACATTCAACAAATAGTTTCAAATTCCCTTTGTCCATACTGTTATTCTACATTTTGAACACTGAACAAAATATACATATGCACTTTGTAGTATATACATGGAGTTTTGAAGCTTTTATCTCCAGCTTTGGTCGCTGAAATAACTTAGGGATCAATCTCAGACACCACTAGGAATTATATCATAACCAGATTGATTGCTTACAGAAAGATGGATCATAATAATCACTCAATAACTATTTTCAAATGAATGAAAACTAAAAAACTGATGGCCTAATTTGGCAGAATAAATTTGTTGTCCTCTTTTTGTTAACATATAAGTAACCTATATATTTTTGGAAAAACATTAATACATACATATACAGCCAGCATGTTTATTCATTCTTCATTAGTTCATTCATTCTTCAAGCATTTTTCATCTTCCAATGGATCAGGCGTGATTCTGGCTGCTGAGACTGGAGTAGAAACTAAGACAGACCGTGTCTGAATGATGAAATCACAACCGAGCTGGCATGTCTGGCACAAGATATGTAGTTATATTTTTACCTCCAGAAAAAAAAAAATGAAAGAAAAAACTCTGTCTAATATGACAAGGCTGTAGAACAAAATACTTTCTAAAATCAGGTAATGACAACACAAGGCAACTAATTGGCTAGACTTCTACCTATTGTTAGTTAAAAGCTTGACAGCTGCTTAATTTCTGAGCACTGATGTGTAGTTGAGAGAATAAGTAATGGATTGTATTTTATGTAATCTGTACATAACACTTATGTAAATTTTTCATTTGATGTAAAAAAATAGATGATCTCTGTCTTCTTTAAGCTCAGCTATAATTGTACTAAGGAATGGAGAAAGGGTAAGGGTGTATATGAGAATCAGTTATTTAATTAATAATCTGTTGGCAAGATAAAAAGGAAAATAATTTTAATCATGGCAAATTAGTGATATTGAGTTTTGATAGCATTTGTATTTCCAAAGGAAATTTATCGTAATTAGTTTTAATTGATAATAACATTGTAAATATCATTCCCCCTAAAATAAAGTGCATCATTTCTCTTTTAAAGTTAATTTTAATATTCTGTATTTGAATCTTCAGTTTTCCACTGGGTTCTAAGAGTCAAACATCTTGATAATTTATTACCTATACAATTTTAAATACCATTTTCTTAACCTATTGTTTCTTTAGTGCTTACTTTAGTCGATTTTTGCTTAAATTCAATTTGAAATAATATCATAGATTAACTACAGTATCAGTGTAAAACAAACAGGTAGTAAGAACATTTTCACCAACTCTGAGATGAAAATGTCAGAGACATTTATCACACATACATGTGCAACACATTTTAACTCACAAGTAGTTTGTGTTCTATTTCAAGAAAGTGTGCATTATATGAAATGAATAGCTTTAATTTCATAGAAAAAAGTGGATTTGACAAATCATCTTCCCATGTATAAATTTGATGGTTAGATAAAATATTACCAAAATAAATGGATACTAACGCAATTTAAGTATTCGTTTTTGTAATACATCTAGGACAATAAAATATCTACTGAATAAAGATGATTTACAGAAGCCTTTAAAAAGAAGACATCTGCTCTTATGTTGTTTTCTCCCTCATGTAGTGAGGTCATGTAAATTTCAGGATGATAGTGTGGTGAAAGCTCTAAGAATTGCTTGCTATATTTGTCTTCCTGTGAGTCTGCATTCCCTATAGGTAATAGATTCTTAGTAGACTCTTTGAGAGACAATTTATTTACTAATTTCCATGAAATTTCTTGACTCTTTGTTTGCTGGTAGATTCCTCTCATCCTATGGTGACAAAAAATAGGCCAAAACATACTCTATTGCAGGGATTCTTACATTTTAGAAAGAATGAGAATCCCCTGGAGGGATTGTAAAATGCTAATTGCTGGGCCCTATTCCCAAAATTATTACGCAGGGAGTTCAGGGTGGAATGTGAGAATATGCTTTTCTAACGGGGGCGTTAGAGTTACCCTTCTAAATAAAGGGACACATTCTCAAATGCTAGAATTATTATTCTAAATAAAGGGCAAAAATGAGAGAAATATATCTTCAGAGCAAGTTTTAACCTTAGTCAGCAAAACATTTTATTTTCTTGAGGACTTCATTGCCTTATTTTCTATCCATGAAATAATCCAGATAGATAAATTTGCATGTAGGGAGTAAGATTTTTCTACTTCCTTTTAAATATCAATGAATAGTTCATTGTTCCATGTAAAATACATTAGATACGTTTGATTTGTGAATAGGGTCTGATGTATTTAATCCAGCAAGAAACCCAGAAAAAATAATTGAAATTTTAGATTAATAATTTGTTATGGTAAGTTTATTTGCTTTTTGCAATTCGTTGCAGATTTAATATTGCAATTATTTTGCCACAAACAATTATATATATTTTCTGCCAAATTCTGGCATAGTCTTCAATATTTACATGTTTTTATAGACCAGATTATTTTTTCTTTGTGTTATAATTGTGGTACATAACTGAGAGTTTCATCAAAGAAAAGCAATCATAACTGAGAGGAGAAAAAATTGAACTATTCTTGCTATCACAGTGAAATTGAATTTTAGTCAAGCTTATCTAAAATATTTAATAAGTCATACAATATTTTTGTTTAAACACATAAACATTTAGATACATATATTCAATTTGTGGGTTAAAATTAAACTAGTTATTCAATACTAATTATTTTTCTGTAACATTTGAGTACTGGGGTCTACTTGGCATTTATTAGGAGTCTACAAAAATTGAAAATATAAAGTCATCTCACCAGATCAATTCTAAACAAAATATAGAGAACATCATAAACTTCAGGTGCAACTTTTTTGTGTGTGTGCTTACTTTGCTCTTTAAAAAGTATCACACTTCAGGCAATCTTTCCTCAGGTAACATGGTAAAAAAATTTCCCAGAAGTTTTTTTCTTTTTGTTAATAAATAATGTTCATAAACTTATGTATGAAATATAATGATCCTGTCACAGCCCAATAGGCTCTTCTTGCCTACTGCACAGAAAAAGCCAATGAATTGAGACAGCAGGTGTTGCAGTAGAGAAAGAGTTTAATAATTTCTGGGCAGCTGAGTGAGCAGACCAGGGGATATTTCTCAAACCCACCTCCCTGAGAATTTGGAGGCCAGGGTTTTTTGTTTGTTTGTTTTGTTTGTTTTGATACGGAGTCTCACTCTGTCACCCAGGCTGGAGTGCAGTGGTGTGATCTTGGTTCACTGCAAGCTCTGCCTCCCAGGTTCATGCCATTCTCCTGCCTCAGCCTCCCGAGTAGCTGGGACTACAGGCACCCACCACCATGCCTGGCTACTTTTTTTCGTATTTTTAGTAGAGATGGGGTTTCACTGTGTTAGCCAGGATAGTCTCAATCTCCTGACCTCATGATCTGCCAGCCTCAGCCTCCCAAATGGTTTGGCAGCAGGGAAGTAGGGAATAGGCAAAGCTGATTGTTTGGGTTCAAGATGAAATTATAGGAGTGTTGAAACTGTCTTCATGTACTGAGTCAGCTCCTGGGTGGAGGGTCATAGGACCAGCTGAGTGAGTTTGTTGATATGGGTCACCAGTCCAGGTGGCATCAGTTGGTCCACCAGAATGGAAGTTCTGAAAAATATCTCAAACATCAGTCTTAGGTTTCACAGTAGTGATGTTGTCTACAGGGGCAACTGGGGAAGTTACAAATCTTGTGGCTACCAGCTACATGACTCCTGAGTAGTATGCAATTCCAAAAAAGCAAGTTAGAAAACAATGACTAGTTATTGTTTAGCTATGCCTAAGTCTTAGCAGAATTCAAGCCACTACCATAATTCTAACCTTGTAGCCTTTCATTAATTTTACAAAGGCAGTTTCTATCCCTGAACAAGGAGGGAAGGTAAGTTTCAGGAAGGGACTATTATTATTTTTTCTTTAAGGTTAAACTATAAACTAAATTCCTCCCATAGTTAGCTTGGCCTACATACAGAAATAAGCAAAGACGGTTAGCTTGTGAGGTTAGAAGCAAGATGGAGTCAATTATGTTAGATTTCTCTCATTGTTATAATTTTGCAAAAGTGGTTTCAATCCTATATCAGCAAAATATGTGTAAGGCCATTTTGTCTCCCACTGAGTAAAACTTATACTTTCATTTTCTAAACATCATTAAGACACTTGAAAAGTTTGAAAAATAAAGTTGGAGTCAGTTACATATTTGTAATTTGAGAAAAAAAATATTGTCTAAACCAATAAACAAACGAACAATAGAAGCTAGAAATGAAATATTTTAAAAATGAATGAGGGTACTATCAAATTAATTCGCTCATATCCTATTTATATTTGTAATCCTTTTTAGCTATACAACTGGACACCACCTCAATTCCCTCTTTACTTGTGACTCATTATCTATAACAGCACTTCCCAGTAGTAATAAAACACAAACTACATGTGTAACTGTATACTATCCAGAAGCCATATAGAAAAAAGAAGTGAAGTGAATTTTAACAGTACAGAATTTAACTCAATATATTCAAAATACACTTTGATTATAAAATCAATATAAAATTTGATTAATGAGGTATCTTATAATCTTTGTTTTATATTACATCTTCTAACTCTATAGTCTATTTTATATTTAGAGCACACTTTAATTTTGACCAACTCCGTTTCAAGTGCTGAAGAGCCACATTTGGCTAGTAGCTTCCATAATAGAAAATACATTTTTAAGTTGTAACAGGATTCCATTACAAGAGCATATTATATACAAAATATTATTGATGTCTCTTTAGCTTTATATTCTACATGGGTTAGAAACTTTCTCCCAAATAACCTACAGAAGTTCTAGCCTCTATTAAAAATGTATACTCTGTACAGAAGGGTAAATTTACTATAGATAAATTTGACTAAAATTCAATTTTACTACTTATATTTCCCAAACCCAACAACTAGCCATTTATTTTTTAAAATTTAACACATATATTTTAAAAGGGAGTCTTTGAAATAAAACTTGCTTATTTAGAAATATTGATTTAATTATTTTCATATGGTATGCACTGTGGTATTTGCTGGTTTTTTGAAGAGTTTAGGAAGTAGTGTGAGTGAATATTTTCATACAAAATATAAACATGTATGGTAATAAAATATAAATGATATAATATTGATTATGGTGGTTATGGTTATGAGTTGTAGGAATATGAATTGAGGCGGGCCTCAGGACAAACTACAGAGGAAGTAACATTTCAGATAGACCTTCAAGGAAAAATTATTCATATATAGGCAAAATAGTGAAAAGTTTATTAAGTTAGTACAGAATAATATTTTTGGCAATAACTATTGTACACTTACCAGAGGGTCTTTTACATTAGTTTATTTTGTTTAGCCCTCAACAAAACTATCCTAGGTGAATTATGATATTTGTCTCTATGTTTTAAGTGAGAAAATTGAAATAGAGTGAGTTATGATTCCAGGGGTCACAGCTGGTAAAAGGCACCAGGGAGAGAACTAGACAGAATTACTCTAGAGTCCACAGGCCTTGCACTACTGTAGGACTGCTGTGAGGGCTTTCACGAGTAAGAAATGGCTTGTGCTGACATGCAGAAATGCAGCATTCACTAGCATCGTATCCTTCTAAGTGAATCTGAAGCCAGCTGTGTCCTTTCGTAGTCATTCAAGTTTATTACCAGTTAAGAAAAGAAGACCTGCCGAATGAAAGTTCCAGTTGGCACCTCAAAGAGAAAAAATTTCTTCATAGGCAGCTTGTAACTACACCATGAAAGTGAAAGAAGCTCACCTCCATGGTAGGTATACTGCCTCAAAGATGCACGCAAGTGTAGAAGACTCAGTAGGGAAGTTTAAATTATAATAATCATAAGCAGCACTGATGTCCAAAATGTAGAAGAATAAATGAAAATGAATACAATCACAGAAGGTAAAAGTTTGGAAAGCTGGACAGAGTTTGTGAAAATGCTATTATAAAATTGCTGGCTGCGACGTGATATGTGAGTGAGACCATCTTCTGAGAATGATAACTTTAACAGGTGGCAGAGGTAAGTGTATTATAATATAGGAGTTTAAACTAGCTCCTTGTGATCATACGAAAACATATTAGCTAGGGAAGCATCGAGAATGTCAAGTCAATACTAAGATATAGTACAGAGTTTTCTGATTTTTCTCCTCAAGTTTCTTTTGCCAGCTGCCTGTATCACTGGAACAACGAGGCAAGGACATTGGTAATAGTGACAAGAAGGTAATTGAAGTTATTAATCATGGAATCTATCTTTTATAGGAAGAAATTGAAGTTAGGAGGAGATCGATGGAACATGTACTACTGGTCTTGAGGAGGACAAAAATTCACTGGACCAATTATGATGAGAAAAAACATCACGTTTAACTTCCTTTGCAAGCATTATCTATGGAAAATGACTAGAGAAACAAGAAAATAGGAAAGGAAAAATCTTAAGTTCCCAAGATATAAACACTTTATATAAAAAATAAAAGGAAAGTTTTCACAAGTACACACAAACATTGATCTGGAATAGACTTTTCCAACACTATTATGATGATGTTTTCTTTCAAAAGACAAACTATCTGTCTATAGTGGCAAAATGATTTTGACTTTGGGCATACAAGAACTCCTTGGTGGATATGTATTTCAAAGTTTTTACTTTTTCAAAGAAGTTGTCTTATTTCATTAACAAAACCTAACATATGCTCAAAAGATTTTTATCCTTCACTATTGCTAATTCCATTTGCTTAGTGAAGTATGTTGCAAATTAATAGCTTATAGCTTTTCTTAAATATTATGTATGAAATTCATCAGCACTGTATTTCCAGTCACTGGTCAAGCTGCTAGGGTTGCTAAGTGTTAATGGACTGTGGTCCTTATCTTTGCCATCCTGACATTAATTGCAATAGCAATTTTGTATAAATCCACAAAAAGTAAGTGTTTCTCAAATATGTTCAGTAGTTGAATTACTACTATATAAAATAAAGCGCTTATTTTACATAGCGTGAGTTTGCATTAAAAAGTAATTGAAGAGCCATTCACATATGAAGACAGTCAATTTCTCTCTCAAATTTCTAGAGATGAAAATGCCATTTGGAAGACTGGAATAGAAAAACTTAATCCTTGTGAACCCATTTTATAGTCCAGGGTTCATACTTTTTTTAGCTTTCGGACAAGCTATGCATTCAAACATCTCTTTCCACATACATGCATGAAATCTAACTACATTATGTTGTAATTGAATGAGAAGGTAGCTATAGAGAGTGAGAACCTTCTGTGGCACTTAATATGGTCTAGAATACTTCTGAACCTAAGGGTCATTCCTTCATAGGGCAAAAATTGAGGAAAAGCCTACATAAATATTTATGACCTTGCATTTCTCATGCAGATTTGATTCACTCTACTGATTTGGGTACTTCTTTCATTGCTCTTTTATATTTTGAGTTCTTGTTATTCAGATGTTACTGAAGGAGAAGTCATGGAAAAATAAGGATCTAAATGGGAAAATCAGGACATAAGTAAATAATCCACATGAGAAAGTTACTGACACAACATTCAGAATGCATGTTTCATTTAACTATAGAAAATAGATTGTTTTTAATGTGTGATGGATTTTTTCTCCCAGAAGATCCTGAGATGAAGAACTGATGACAAGTGGACAAGCAGTTTCATTGGTAGGTGATCCCAGGAATGGAAAGGCATCTACTTACCTCTTACCACCGACAGACCCTGGAGCTGGAGTGCACTGGGAATTCTGGGAAACAGGAGAGCTCAGCCTTGGAGCGATCCTTAACGAGTGATGAGGAAACTGGGGTTTGAATCTACCAGATCCCCATTTTTCTTTAATTGAAGGTGATTTCTAGAATTAAATCTCTATTACTTTTAGTTTATCATGTATACAGGCCCGGCATATTCCCTTAGCCGGAAAAAAGAATCTTCAGTCCAACTGGCAGGTGCTTTCCATGGAGCCTCCAGTTATAATGATGAGGGGCTAGGGGCTGTGCACCTACAATGCCTGCTGTAGCCCACCTCTTGTACTGCTCAGATGCATTTATGACACACACTAAGTCTAACGTCTTCTGTCTTTGTATTTGTGACTGGTCACAGTTCCTTAAAAACAAACAAAAAAAAACCAACAACAAAACAATGATTTGTAATGGGGTGAATAGTAGGTTCCAAGAGAGTGTCATTGCTGGTTATCATCCCCTTGTATACCAGCCATTCTGTTTCCTTTCCTACTGCCAGAATTGGTATTCAAGTAGCTTGCTAGCCATCCGTAACTTCCAACCCTGCCCCAGGGTTACTCCATTCATGTGCACAACACCCAAGCACAGAGCTGGCTAAAGACAGAGGCTGGATGACATGCCCTACCCAAGTCATTCTATCTGCATGGTTGTTCAGTTGCTCCACTGGGGTGGATGTGTTCTGGCGGAACCAATGGGAAAACCAAATATCCACACATTCGGTGTCTATTCCCATAGGTCCAGCCGTATGCCTCTTCCCCTGTATTCTTTGTCTCTATTTTTCCAATCTCACTTTCTTAGATCCTGTTCCACCAGGCAGGGCAATTTGCTACTGACCAAGAGCCTGTGCATATCCTTGCTGCAAGCCATTTCTCCTTCTATACCAAGTAGATCACTGTGTGTCCATTTCCAATCTCTGCCCACCATAGGAGAATTTTCTCTTTACTTCTTTCTTTCAGAGATACTTCTGTGCTGGGCCTTTTTGCAGGAGCAACCTATTTTCTGCTCATACCAACCTATTGATCTTATTCATCCATGAACTGTGTTTCTTCCTTCCTTATCATCCAGTTGTGGTAGTCCCACAAAAAAAATTAGATGTGAGCTAAGTAACAAATGGCTGTGCAATGAGCTAGGTGACACCCGTTGCAGGAGACGGCCAAATGTATTTACATATTCACTTGTGCCTTTCAAACCAACTTGAACGAATCCCCAATTTGCTATTTCTATCACATGATGAATTGCCTCTGTGCCTACCCAATATTATAGATCTGTAGATTTGACTTTACAAAATGACCTGTCAATATGGGCAGCTCTATTTTCATAGTCACATGATGAAGGACATGCTCAGAAACTGCTGTGTTTGATGCCACCGAAGCTAGAGGCTGTTTTTGAATAGTGAACAGTCGCAGAACCCTAGGTCTACACCATGGCTCTTCTACTGGGGCTTGCCAGAGAGTCCACACAGCATCCTTATCTATCCCAAATACCTCAAGCACCATGGGATTTGCCAGTGCACATGTCAGAAAACAGCCAGGCTGCTATTCTACAGCCTGAACCTGTTGAAGAACTCTCTTTGGATAAAGCTTACTCAGAGGAGTGTTCCCCAGCATTGCATGGATACTAGACCTTTCAGAGAAACAAACAAACAAACTCTCAAGCTCTGCTTTTCTTCTGCTCTTACACAATTCCAATTATTAACACGGAAGAAGACTTCTGTGGCCAAACGTATGGGGGGTTTTCCACATACAGCAAGAAATGGACACCAGCTATGTGTCCTCCAATTCAACTCCAACACTGTCTACCTGGAGATAGTGTCAGATCCCACAGGGGAAGGCTCAGTCCCACAAAACCTCCCCTCCTTCCTCACTGTCACAAGTCTGGGGGAACTTATGATCCACTGGCTTCAAGTTGAGATTTTCACAACCCCCTCTTTGGGTCTAATTAATTTGCTAGAGCAGCTCACAGATCTAGGGAAAATATTTACACTTACTGGCTTACTATGAAGGATATTTTAAAGGATAGAAATAAACAGCCAGATGAAGAGATACATATGGTGAGATCTGGAAGGGTCCCAAGTGCAGGAGCTTCCATCCCCATGGAGTTGGGGATGTGCCAACACCCCTCCAGAACGTGGATGGATGAGTTCTTCTTCACCTGTCAGCCTCCACGTGTTCAGCTATCTAGAAACTATAAATAGATATAGATGATACACAGATAGATAGATAGATAGATATTAGAGATAAATAGATGATAGATTGCTATTAAAGATAGATAGATATTAGACAGAGACAGATAGATGAATAGATAGATAGATGATAGATGAATAGATAGATAATAGATGAATAGATAGATAGATGATAGGTAGATGAATAGATAGATAGATGATGGATAGATATAGAGATCTCAACATCACAGTCTCCAAAATCCAAAGAGGTGTAACAAACAGGTGGACCTCAGGAGCCCTTGGTTTTCAGTCTGGTCTTGTTTCCCAAAACAATAAATACACCATTCTGCTGTTCACAGTTATTTGCTGCTTTTTTTGAAAATTCTAAGATTTCTATTAATATTTGGAAGTCCAATTCTATTGAAAACTCTCCTATTGGTAAACCTGGCCTATGGAGAATAGATCTCACCGGGATTCTCAACAATGACTATGCTCCCATACTAGAGCATTCCCAGTACTCTACAGAGTGGGCCTCTTCTGGGCACTTGGGGAACATAATTATCTAAAGCATTCTCTGATATAACAGAATATATCTATTCTAACAAGCCTTAATCTCCGAGTACGTTCAGCCCTTCCTTATACTCTTCTATGGCAATTCCAGCACCTGTATCTCATTTACTAGAGAATTTTTTCTTCTCAAGCTTTAAGGAACTACCTTAGCAATGTATCAATACGATCTCCAGATTTCCTTGATGAGAAGATATATTTTATCTAATATCCAATTTCAATAACTCCCTTATCAAATTTTATATTTATCTGTACCCATGAACAAGCACACTCCAGATCCAATCCCAGGATCTCAGTACCTGCTGATACGTACCAATTAGAACCTACAGTTATTTTGGTGAATTCTTTTCTCCTGGAGCAGGATAGTTCTACTATTGGATCACCTTACCTTGGTTATTGTTCTAGATGAAATGTAAGGAGAGGAGGGCCCTATCTTGGATGAAACTTTTGCATGGTCCACAGGTAAGTGGAGCTAGTCACCGCTAGACAAATGGAACACCCAGAAATTATGGAATAATCTTGGCATAAAATGTTATCAAGTACAGCAACCCTGATGGCTCCATCTCAGACGTCAAAGTGTAAACCTCCTATATAAAAAGTCTCGTGCTAAATATTTTACAGGCAGCTTTGTCACACAGAAAACGAACGGTACAGGACACTCTAGGAATCTCCAAAGTTAACACACTAACAATTGAAGAATTTAAATAGTATCAATTCTAATTTGCCTATAATTAAGCGCTAGTGTTTGTATGCTCATTTGAGTCTATTATATAATCATCAGAATATATAAAAGTTAACACTACAGCTATTAAGCATACATTTTGTAACCCCACCAAAAACGAATTTTTTTTGGTAAATACATTGCAACATTAATAAATATTTAGTACGTATTAATATAATTATCTTATATTAATATAATTATCTTTATATCCAGGAACTACATCTTGAAGATGCTATAATTTTTGTGCTGTTATTTGACTAGAGTCCATAAGTTTACAGAGAACAAAATCATAAAATATTTAGGGATCCTTGAATTATTCTCTGTCATAGATTCAGCTATTTATAAATCCCTAGGCCTAATTTCTTTAAGAAATGTTATTGACATTAAATTTTTGATAATTTCTAGTTTTCAAATAAACTTTATTAAACACAAATTAAGTAAGGAATCTCTAGATAAAACATAAGAAAGTTGATTTTACTCCTTATGTAAATTGCTCCAGTACTGTTTCTGTCAAAATTTTAAGACTCATCCTCGGAAAAAAGAAAAAAAGATACTTAATAAACTGTAAATTCAAGGGCACTTACTGTGAACAAATATGAGTTTAAAAAACAGAGGATCTGACTTACTAAAACCACATGTGCAATAAAAGCTACATCTCATATGCTCTAGGGTATTAAATATTTTTATAAATACAACAACTCCCACTTCCTCAGAGCCAGAATTATTTACTTGTTACCATTTATTTGATGAATCTATGTATTCCCACTTCTATGAATGGATTTTACCTCACCTACCCCCAGATCTCACCTGGAATAATTCTATTGCCAGTGTCAGGGTGATAGAGGGGAGAGTACACACATTTATCATTCTGTGTGTTTCTCGTAACACCTCCAATGATGCATGACAATTCCAATGCTCAAAAACAATTACAATGAGAAACTACGTGAGGAAAATTATTTAGGTGCAATTCCTGGGAGAAAGAGCAACTTGAGATGATGCATCCGGAGTAGATTAGAGCAGAGTAATGTAATTGAGGGAGAAACTTTGTCTTTGTGTCAGTAAACTCTGTTACAGGTACACAAGGATTTTCTACCAATCACAGTTTAAGCAACATACACAAGACGTGTTTAATACTGTTTGCAATAACAAAATTTCTTATATCTCTGAAAATGTTATATAGAAATCAACAAATTTCAAGAGAGAAATAAGTGCCTCTGCAATAGTTGAACCATCATTGTTCCATTCATACAACCATCCAGTTCTCCTTTTTGCAACACAACAGAACTGCTTCTTCACATCAGTATGCATAAACACTAAACATCCATGTGCCCTGATTTTATCAACAATATAAAACAGTATTTTAATAATTTAGTGAAATATCAGAGTAGAAGCATTTGAAAATTATAATAAAACTTCTGAACAAAATTCTTACTTTTATGTTCTTGACTTTCACAATACAAGTGACTTTAAATGAAAGTTTTGCTTTTATTTTGGAAGTAGCTCCATTATGCATTATGTATGTATTACTCTTTAATACACACACACACACACACACACACACACACACACACACATATCTCAGGTATTCATGGATTTTTAGATTTGCAGAAAGCCTTATATTTTAGTTACAGGTAACCATCAGCATCTTATAATGAAAATTCTCCATTCTAAAATGTAAAATATATATTAGCCTTCTGACTGGGAGGATTTATGAAAATCTGTGATCCAAGGAGCCAAAGACATTATTTATGCAATGTCATGAAATAATTAATAATTCAAAAGACTGAGTATTCCATTTTACCTGGATGTTTATTTTACCACTGGTAACACAACTCCAGCTATACTCATGCTCAAAATGTATTTATACTTTTTCAACGATCAACTTCTATACCCTATCAAGAAAAAATTTCACATTAATTAAAAATAATTAAATTCAAATCCCTAGAATTGTTTCTATGCATAGTCTCAATTGAAGTAAATATTTTTCTAATTAAAATATTTTTTAAAACTTTAGAAAAAATAAGAAACAAAGGGAATGAGTAAAAGCCATCTGTATCTGTTATATTTGGAATAACATATAATTTGTTAAATTTTAAAGCCATTTTTAAAGGGGCTGTAATAAACTGTAAATTCAAGGGCACTTACTGTGAACAAATATGAGTTTAAAAAACAGAGGATCTTGAATTCTATCATTACTTATAATAATGTGATAATTTTGCCATCTGTGATTATTCTTTAGAAAATAGTTATTTTTATAGATATTAAATGGTATATAATACACATACACCAATCTGTTATGTGGATATGCAAAGCACTATGCATTTTCCTGGATATTTGGTTTGTTTTAACATTTGAGTTGTTTTTATATTTTTTTCCTTTGACAAGCAATGCTGCTCTGGACATTGTTGTACAATTCTCTTCACCCATGCATTTGCCAGTTTCCCTTGGGTGTTTAAATTTGATATCTGGGTACTGGAATATGTGTGTGTTCCATTTTATAAATTAATGCCAAATGTGACTCTAACTTGTTCTATAACCACTAGGAATAACTAAGCATGCCCTGCTGATTCAAATCCCCATCAATAGTTGATATTGCCAGTTCTTCAAATTTTTGTTCACCTTTTGAGTTTAAAATGATACTTTATTGTGGTCTTGATTTGCACTTCCCTGATTTCTGGTTTTGAAATTCTTTATCATAGGTTTGTCATTTCTTCCTCTTCTTTGATGTTTGGTTCATCTCTTTTGCTTATTTTTTAGTTACATTTTTGGCTCTTTTCTTTTTGATTTTAAAGGTTGTGTAGACTTTCTGGTTACCAAGCCTTTGTCAGTCACATATGTTGCAAATATTTTCTTTTTCTTTTTTTTCTTTTTGAGTGGGAGTTTCGCTCTTGTTGCCCATCTTGTTGCCCAGGCTGGAGTGCAGTGGTGCGACCTCGGCTCACTACAACCTCTGCCTCCCAGGTTCAAGTGATTCTCCTGCCTCAGCCTCCCGAGTAGCTGGGATTACAGGCATGCACCACCACGCATGGCTAATTTTGTATTTTTAGTAGAGATGGGGTTTTTCCATGTTGGTCAGGCTGGTCTCAAACTCCTGACCTCAGGTGATCTGCCCACCTTGGCTTCCCAAAGTGCTGGGATTCCAGGCGTGAGCCACCGCGCCCAGCCAATATTTTTTATTTGTTGCCCATTTTATTATTTGTGGTAGGTTTTTTTTTTTTTGGTTTTTTTTTTTTTTTTTTTTTTGAGGCAGGATCTTGCTCTGTTACCTAGGCTGGAGCATAGTGGTGTGATGACAGCTCACTGCACTGCAGTCTTGACATCTTGGACTCAGATGATCCTCCCACCTCAGCTACCCGAGCAGCTGGGACTACAAGTGCATGCCACCATGCCTGGCTAATATTTGGTATTTCTTTCGTAGAAATGGGTTTTTGCCATGTTACCCAGACTGGTCTCCAACTCCCAGGCTCAAGTGATCCTCCCGCCTCGACCTCAAAAAGTGCTTGGATTACAGGTGTGCGTCACCATGCCTGGCAATTTATGGTACTTTTGATAAACAAAAATTTCCCATTTTAATATGATATAACGTGAATTATGTCCTGGACTTTTTGTGCTTTTTGCATTTTATTTAATAAATCAATTAGTCTCTGATGTTATATAGAAATCCTCCCCCATTCTTTTTGAAATTGTAAAAATTCAGTTACATGTTTAATATCTTTATCTTCCTGGAATTATTTTGGTATTTGGTATACAGTAAGAATATAATTATATTTGTTGCCATATGGTCTAACTAACTCTGTGTGATTCCTTGACCATCCTTCCTTTCCCTTTGACATGCATTACTACCTCAGTCAAACATCAATTTGCCTCATGTGAGTAAGCATTTGGACGTGCTACTCTTTTCCTTTACTCTATTTGTAAATGACTATATCAATATCACAATATATTAATTGCTATGGGTTTAAGATAACTCTCTGTAACTTGTTGGAAAAGTCCTGTCACTTTTTATCCTTCTTAAAAATTGTCTCACGCCTGTAATCCCAGCACTTTGGAAGGCCGAGGCGGGCGGATCACGAGGTCAGGAGATCGAGACCATCCTGGCTAACATGGTGAAACCCAGTCTCTACTAAAAATACAAAAAATTATCAGGGCATGGTGGCGGGTGCCTGTAATCCCAGCTACTCAGGAAGCTGAGGCAGGAGAATCGCGTGAACCCGGGAAGCAGAGCTTGCAGTGAGCAGAAATCGCACCACTGCACTCCAGCCTGGGTGACAGAGAGAGACTCCGTCTCAAAAAAAAAAAAAAAAAGTCTTAGCTATTTTTATCCTTTCTTTCTTCTATGTAAATGGTAGAAATACCATCATTTTCCACAGAAGAAAAAAAAAACTTTGTTGGTATATTGATTGGAAATGCATAGAATTTATAAATTGATTTGGAGACTATTGACATCTCCATGCCATTGCATATTAAGACCTATTGGTATGTTTTAATAAAGTTATACAATGTATGTTTTTATTTGTATATTTTAAATAATATCCCATTGAAATTATATTACATTTTACATATTGTTGATGGCTTCCAGGACTTTCAAAATCTTCTAATGTCTTTTATGTTCTATTATTTCACAATATATTTCTAAGTGTGGATTTCTATTTGTCCTAACTTGGAAATTTTAAAAAATATTTGTTTGTTTGCTTTTGTTTTTTACATTAACTTGAAAATTTTAAATCATTTTCTGTAAAATGTTTTCTTTCCTCTATAATCTGTTATTCCCTTCTGGTCTAATTATATAAACATCCATTTAGTGAGTCTCTAATTTAAATTCATATATTTTAAGAAAGCTGAAATATACTAAAACCTATATTTGAAAATATTAACATCTGAAATGTTTTGAGATCTTCTGTTTTTATGCTAGCTCTTGATTTGGGTGGCAAACTTCCTTAGTATGTAATACTATTTGGCCTTAATATGTTGAGCCTCGTAGAATTATTTATAAGACATATTTAAGATCTAGAATGAATACCCGTATTCTTCCAAAAAGGATTTACATCTGTTTCTGACAGCTATCTAAGACTACTGTAAACCCTGGTAACATGAACTGGGCTCAAATTCACATAAGAGCTCACAGGTGAGGCTTTCTTGCAGTGTGACACTCAGCACTAGGATAACTTGCTTTTTAATTCCCTGGAGGCGCTGGGTGGGGTGTATTTACTCCTGGTTCTAAAGAAGATGTAGCTCTCAGATTAGTAGGTGTGGGCAGAAGGGTCTCATAATAAATCTTCATCATGCACAAGTGCTGAGATTTGTCTTTAGTAGCCCTTGCCTCCAGTGAGAACATAGAAACACCAACAAAATTTAGCTCACCTGACAAGTCCTCCAGGTTCTAGCCTTTAGCGAGGGTTAAGCTTGATGGCTCTTACTGTTTTTTTTGTTTTTTGTTTGCTGTTTTGTTTTATGCTTTTAAGAACACTTACAAATAGTTCAATCACTATTTTTAGCTGTTTTCAGTGAGAGTTGGTGAATAACCTGATCTACCATATTACTAGGAGGAGATTCCTGGAAGCCTATTAAATATTGAAGAACCTGTGCAGCCGAAAGAACCACAGGCCTGAAATGTTACTACCCCTAAAACTACTCTCTGAGGCCCTTCAACAGTCTAGTCTGCAGCTGTTAAACCTCAAAGCTCCCAATGAGAATCTATATATTCATAAAATTATGTTTAGAAACTTATAATCAAAACTAAAAATATGACATGGAAAGTTGCAAATGATATAGTTGTACAAAAATTTCAAAAGACAGGAAAGGGGTTGCCCTAATGTTCACAGAAGTTTATTCTGAAAGCGTCATCATTTACCCTCTGTAAGGCGTAAATTCAATTTAAAAGATTTACCTCAACTGACATTTTATTTTTTAATTTTTTCAACAGCTTCATAGAGGTACATATGATATACAAAAACATGGCACATATTTAGCACACTTTTTTTTTTAATTTTTGCATTTTTTTAAAATTTATTATTATTATACTTTAAGTTTTAGGGTACATGTGCACAATGTGCAGGTTAGTTACATACGTATACATGTGCCATGCTGGCGCGCTGCACCCACTAACTCGTCATCTAGCATTAGGTATATCTCCCAATGCTATCCCTCCCCCCTCCCCCACTCCACAACAGTCCCCAGAGTGTGATGTTCCCCTTCCTGTGTCCATGTGTTCTCATTGTTCAATTCCCACCTGTGAGTGAGAATATGCAGTGTTTGGTTTTTTGTTCTTGCGATAGTTTACTGAGAATGATGGAATACTATGCAGCCATAAAAAATGATGAGTTCACGTCCTTTGTAGGGACATGGATGAAATTAGCGCATACATTTTTATGTGTACATCTAGGAAATTATTACTGTAATTAAGGTAGAAATGTGTTTGCGCCTCTGTATAGTGTGTGTGTGGTAAGAACATTTAACCTGAGATCTACTCTCTTAACAAATTTTTAAGTTCACAATTGAGTATATGTTGTACAGCAGATCTGTTAAAATCACATCATTTTGAATCTGAAATACAATTCCCAAAGCATCTAGAGTATAATGTCTCTATCAATGGGACTGGCAAATATTCATGTGCATGTTGGTAGAAATGCATGCACAATCCCAATAAAAATAAATTTACTGAGTAAATGAAAGACTGAATAAAATTTCCCAGGGTGTTTTTCAAACCACCTGGGTAGTAAGTGATAGGTACGTCGAGCAAAAGGATGCAGGATAAAATAAATAGACATCTCTTGACCAAGAGTATAAACTATTTTCATGCAGCTAGAAACTTTGAAATACGTACTTCTCAGCCAGAAATATGCTGCATAGCAACTTAATAATTAGGTATGTAATATCTTGAGCTAGATGAGGAAAGAAACTGCCTTACAAAATAGCATCTGATTAGCTATTCAAAAGCTATCCAAACTTTATTATCTATCATCTCACTGACTGCCTGACTTCATGAAAGTGGAAATGGCTTCACTCAGGGAATGGTTCACTGTGGAATAATTACATAATGTTGGCTTAGTGCTAAGTTGTGAGATCATGATCACACTCAAAGAAAGGTTTCAGAAAATGCATTAAAAAATGGTTGTTTTTTTAAAAAAATAATAGAGCATCTGGGGCTATTTTGGGAAGAGAAAATTTAATTTCAAAAAAGGTAATTGAAAGTTTTTTTTTAAGCAAAAGTATTCAGTGTATTTAGCTACTTCAGGATGCGAAACTATTTTCATCCTATTTATCAGTCTGTTTATCCTATAATATGCTGAATTCTGATTTAGCAACTCCCTTAGCAGTAACGGTTAATAACATTGAGTCACTGACTTATTCATCGGTTTTATCTCTGCCATCATTTATGCTATACTAAAAGTCTAATGAAGAATGACACAATTTCTAACAAATAATATGAAATGTTATGGTTAAGCCATCTGTTCAGATGTAAACATTTTAAAATCAGAAATGTACAAGATATTTCTACTTAATAATTACTATTTATTTTGTGGGTAGATATGATTGGAGAAGCTATTACAGGGCACTGTCAGAAATAAAAATATTTTAAAATAGCACATGTGATAAAAATATTAGTTGATACTAATATTTATTGTGTCATAGTCTATAGATCTTAGTGCATCTTACACCATGATACTGATATTTTGGCTTCTTTTACATATCTAAATACATAATCACTGAATATGTATATTCAGTGCTAAGCATGCTAGACAGTGATCAAAACCGGAGTCTTAGAAGTGTTAGAACTCATAATGAAACATTTTTTTATCGTCTCCAATCTAAGAAGATGAAAGGATGGGGAATAAAGCTGTAATTGCCAGGCACAGGGTGCTTCACTAGGAACCATGCTGGCAGCTGAAACCTAAAAGGAAGCATGTTTCAAAGTCAAATAACATAACGGATTTAATAAGCGGTTTTGGCGAGGGTAGGGGGATTTGACTCAGCTCTGTAGGCTGCCTCAGGTTACTCCCAGCCCACTCCTCCATACAGAACTTGGCAAATACTCAGTCCCATTCAAATATAAATGTTATTAAGAAAAAGGCCATAGGAGAAACTACACATAAATTCAACCAAAGAAATGGATAAAATATTTTTGACAAATCTTCATAATTTCAAAACTTGTACTGATAACAATCTTAAAAAAAATAAAAACTACAGAGTAGAAGGAGAGATTTAAGGCTATAGAGAAGAGATTATAAAGCAAACCAAGGAGATTTTTTAAAACCTTGAATACACTGAAAGGCAAAATAAAAACATTTCAGGGATAAAAGTCATAGTTCAATCAACAGAATAGAAAAAAAATTAGTTAATCTGGCATAAAGTAGAAGGCTTGAGAAGGCTGTTTTATTAGTCTGTTTTCGCAGTGCTGATAAAACATACCTGAGACTGTGTAGTTTATAAAGAAAAAGAGGTTTAATGGACTCACAGTTCCACGTGACTGGGGAGGCCTTACAATCATGGTGGAAGGTGAAAGTCACATCTTACATGGTGGCAGGCAAGACAGAATAAGAGCCCAGCGTAAAGGGAAACCCCTTATTAAACCATCAGATCCTGTGAGACTTATTCACTACCAGAACAGTATGGGGAAAACTGCCCCTATGATTCAATTATCTCCCACAGGGTCCCTCCCACAACACATGGTAATTATGGGAGCTACAATTCAAGATGAGATTTGGGTGGGAACACAGCCAAACCATATCAGCTATACAGACACATGGAGAATAAGGAAGATTAAAATGTAATTTGAATAAGATACATAGGACAAAGGTGATACAACACACATATATTATTATTTATGGAGAAGAGAACAGAATAGATAGATTTGAAAAGTGTTAAAATATAAGAGAGATCAACATTCAAATTTAAGGAAAAGAATCTTTATAAATTAGGCTGGCAACAATTTTAATATCTTCTAACATCAACTGTTGTTTTCTTTTTAAACTCTTCAGTTTGGGGGTGCATATGAAGGTTTGTTATATAGGTGAACTCCTGTCATGGGCGTTTGTTTTACACAATATTTCATCACCCAGGTATTCAGCCCAGTACCCAGTCGTTATCTTTTCCTCTTCTGTCCCTCTTCTCACCCTCCACCCTCAAGTAGATCCCAGTGCCTGTTGTTCCCTTATTTGGGTTAATAAGTTCTTATCATTTAGCTCCCACTTGTAAGTGAGAACATGCCATATTTGGTTTTTTGTTCCTGCATTAATTTGCAAAGGAGAATAGCCTCCAGCTCCATCTATGTTCCTGCAAAAGTCTTGATCTCCTTTTTTATGGCTGCATAGTTTTCCATAGTGTATATGTACCACATTTTCTTTATCCAATATCTGTCATTGATGGGAATTTAGGTTGACTCCACGTCTTTGCTGTTGTGAATCATGCTGCAATGAACGTTCTGATGCATCTGTCTTTATGGTAGAATGATTTACACTTGATCTTAGCCAAAAGGCCGAGAAGCGATTATGGTAGAATGATTTATATTCCTCTAAGTATATACCTGGTAATGAGATTGTTGGGTCAAATGGGAGTTCCGCTTTCAGCTTTCTGAGAAACCGTCATACTGCTTTCCATAATGGTTGAATTTACACTTCCACCAACAGTAACCACAATGTCTTGCCATCTCATACCAGTCAGAATGGCTATTACTAAAAAAAAAAAAAAAAAAAAAAAACCCAGCAGATGCTGTGAGTTTGCAGAGAAAAGGAAACACTAACATCAAGTGTTTGAAAATAGTTGAGACACAAATTTATAGTTTGATAGTAGTAAACCAGTAAAGCTAAGTTGCAGGCAATTTGACAATATGTAGTAAAAGTTATAATATTCAGGTCCTATGTCTCAACAATACTATTAAACATATCAAGTACTTATCCTAAAGAAATTAGCTCAGAGAAGCATAAAGTTACACATAAAACTATGCTTATTATAGCACTGTTTATAATAGGGAAACAGAATAAACAACCTAGATATCTCTTCACATAAAAGTACCATATAGTAGTTACAGGTAGGGTTCCAGTGCTATATAGTTCAATATACATGGTATATATGACATTGGCCATGGATTAAGCTCAAAACACAAGTTAATGACTTTTTAAATGGGGAAGAAGGATAAGTATAATAAGATAGCATACATATAAACTTTTTAAAAGACACATAAACCCAATCAGAAACCAATACTAAGTATGATTTCTATGGGCATATAGACTATATGTAATAGTATAAAAATGAAGTATACATAGGAAATCTGTCATAAAGGCTGACTCCACATAAAGGAAGAGGGGGAGTAGTTATATTTAGTGTTCAAAAACAACAACATTATTCCTAACATTCTAATTTATTAAAGGAATATTATATTCATACAGCACATAAAATGTTTTTAAAGAGATAATTTAGCTCAGAAGGACAAATGCAAATTGCAGGTATTTTGCACAAATTGCAGGCAAATTGCATGTAATATAATAATTTGGAAATACAATATCGATGAGCACAAACTCAAAGAGCAAAACATTTCTAAATAACAAAATGCTGTCTATCCAAAAAGTGATGACACAAAATAAAAAAACTCAAGAATACAGAATGTTCACTGGTGGTGAACATAGCATCGATTTAAATATAAACTTTAAAAGCACTAAAATTATACTACAAGATGAAGGGCACATATAATAAACCCTAATAATTTTCAACTAATTATATACGAACTTTAAAAAATGGGCAAATGGGAAAAACAGGAACTAAGAGATAATGTTTAAAGTTGTAGTTAAAACACCTGAGTTCATATTTTTTAGTGATTTGCATAATTCTCTCATTAACAGTAGCAAAAAAGTTGTTGAAAGTAATCCCCTTTGAACAAATCTTTTTCTGAAATTCAGCAGCTCTTTAATTTCTGCCGCAGATCATTTTTTGTTTAAAGTTGGAAATAAAGGTACTCATACATTATTAACGCAGCGTTGTCATATTAGTATAGTCCTATTTTGGAAAATCTAAATATATAGAGAGATAAATAGATAGATACCTCCATATTTATATATTTGTCCATTCTCATACTGCTTATAAAGACATACCCGAGACTGGGTAATTTATAAAGAAAACAGGTTTAATTGACTCACGGTTCAGCATGACTGGGGAAACCTCAAGAAACTTACAATCACGGTGCAAGGGGAAGCAAACACGTCCTTCTTCATATGGTGGCAGCAAGAAGAATGAGAGCCGAACAAAGAGGGAAGCCCCTTATGAAACCATCGAATCTCATGAGACCTTACTATCACGAGGATAGCTCAGGGAACAGCATGAATCTCATTTCAATTACCTCCCATCGGGTCCCTCCCATGACAGGTGGGGATTATGGAAACTACAATTCAAGATGAGATTTGGGTGGGGACCCAGCCAAACCATATCAATAATGTCAAACTAAAGCTTAAAATATTTCCGGAAGGAGAATTCTGAAGATTTGGGGAGGTTCTACTTTCTTCTTTTTTTTATATTTTAAACTATTATTTTAGGTTCAAGGGTACATGTGCAGGTTTGTCACACAGGCAAATTGCATGTCATAGGTGTTTGATGTACAGGTTATTTCATATTGTCTTCTTTGAACCTTCCTATATTGCTTAAGTTTAGAAATACACAAAATGAATACATGTTATTTTTATAATCATTATAGTCATTTTACCTTTAAAAAGAGACAACTGTACTATCCATATCTCTTTCTCTGTATTTGTACATTTGTAGGTATTATACATGATATTGTATATTTAGACATAATATAAATGTACATATTCTATGAATTTATATATAACATAAATGTATGTAGAATATACATATAAATTATATTCTATATTTTTATAACACCTATATTTAGAAGAGAGATAGATGAAATGTTTAGGTTCTGACTAATGTATGTGCAGCACGAGTGGTAACAAAGTGCCAGGTTCCAGAGATATTTTTGATACAAAACTCAAAGCATTTCCTAAGCAATTTTCCAGAGATATTTTTGATATAAAACTCAAAGCATTTCCTAAGCAATTTCCAGACAACACTGAAGAGCTGAAATGACTGAAGAAGACCATCAGATTAGGAAGAATAATAATATTCTTTGAAGGAATAAGATTAGGAGAAAGAAAATTATTTGTAGGATTGCTAACATTTAGACAAAGGTATCCAGGGAGCAGTTCATTTTTTTTGTTTGTTTAAATGTATGTCAGAAGAAATCTGAGAGACTGGGTGGGAGTCAATGTGAATTATTTCTTCAATCCTTTAGCTATAATCCATTCAATGGATTATATTTAATTTTAATATAATTAAATATAATTATATTATTTTTAATATATTTAATATATTTCATATTATATATAATATTTAATATATAATATTTAATATATTTCATATTATATATTATATTTAATATATAATATTTAATATATTTCACATTATATATTATATTTAATATATAATATTTAATATATTTCATATTACATATTATATTTAATATATAATATTTAATATATTAATATTTAATATATTATTATTTATTTAATATATTTATTTATTATATATTTATATATTTATAAAAATATATATATTATATATAATTTTTATATATTATACATAAATACATAATATATATTTATATATTATAATTTATTTATAATATATTTATTTAATATTATATTAAATATATTAAATATTAATATATTATATTTAATATAATATTAAATATATTTAATATTAATATATTTGATATATTTAATATAATTATATTAGTAGAATTAATTTAATTTTAAAGGTGCATATAAGTTATGTAGGTTTTAGACTACTTTTTGTTTTTGTAACACTTTTTGAGTCACATCTTATAAACAGAAAATCCCTAGAATAAAATGATGCTTCTCATTATGTCTAACACATAGAATTAAAATATTACATTAATATTTTATCTTTTTTGTTTCAGATTTTATTTAATAAATAAAACCTTATAAATAGAGTTAAAGTTTATTGCGCCCATATACATCCAGCCTCTCGTTCCCTCAAATGGTAATCAACATTCAGACATTAGCATGGATATTTTCTAGCCATTTTTTTAAAAAAATATGATTATCACTATTTTCCTTTTGAGACAGAATTTTACTCTGTTTTCCAGGCTGGAGTGGAGTGGCAGGATCATAGCTCACTGTAGCTTCGAATTCCTGGGCTCAAGTGATCCTTCCACTTCAGCTTTTCAAAGCACTGGGATTACTGGTGTGAGCCACCATGCCCAGTCTAACGTTGCTTTTCTACAATGATGACATACATATGCATCCATGAAATTTTAAGAGTGGTGTGCCTATCTTTACCCTTAATATTATTACTAATCATACAATTTGAATTGCTCGGCCTTTTAAATATAATTTCTTTTGTTTCTTAGATTTATTCTTATTGATACCCCTGCATCTATTTGATTCTTACTAATTATCAAGTAACCTCTTACATCACTGCATCACATTTTCTCCATCTCCTATTAACAGGTCTTTATAGTTTTTTTCAAATATTGCTGTTATAAATAGTTCTGCTTTCAACTTTTTTTTTTTTTTTTTTTTTTTTGAGACAGAGTCTTGCTTTGTCACCCAGGCTGGAGTGCAGTGGCATAATCTCGGCTCACTGCAACCTCTGCCTCCTGGGTTCAAGCGATTCTCCTGCCTCAGCCGCCCGAGTAGACGGGATTACAGGCATGTGCCACCACATCGGACTAATTTTTTTGTATTTTCGGTAGAGACAGAGTTTCATCATGTTGGCCAGGCTGGTCTTGAACTCTTGACCTCAAGTGATCCACCCGTCTTGGCCTCCCAAAGTGCTGGGATTACAGGCGTGAGCCACCACACCCAGCCTTACTTTCAACATTCTTAAGAGTATCTCCTTAGGTTGTTTGGAAGTAGAATTCCTGGGCCAAATGAGAGTATCATAAAATTGTGTTCACGAAGTGCTACCAACTTACCTTTCTACAGGCAAATTAGAGTAGTTCTTTTCCATGTCCTGACCAAAGCTTGCTATTGTCAGACCCTTTTTTTTTTTTTTTTTTTTTTTTGAGGCGGAGTCTCTCTCTGTTGCCCAGGCTGGAGTGCAGTGGCACTACAAGCTCCACCTCCCGGGTTCACGCCATTCCCCTGCCTCAGCCTCCCAAGTAGCTGGGACTACAGGCGCCGGCCACCAAGCCGGGCTAATTTTTGTATTTTTAGTAGAGACGGGGTTTCACCGTGTTAGCCAAGATGGTCTGGATCTCCTGACCTCGTGATCCGCCCGCCTTGGCCTCCCAAAGTGCTGCGATTACGGGCGTGAGCCACTGTGCCTGGCTCAGACTTTTAAATATTTGCTAAACTGATAAAAGATCAATTATTTTTTATTGTTATTTTAGTTTACCTTGCAATGATTACTGGTGACCATTTGAACTTCTTTTCTAAGAATTGCATAGTAATATTTTTGACGATTTTAGTCATCTTTAATTTAGTAATATGTAAATTTTTATATCTTCTCAATATTCACATTTTATAATTTATGTGCATTAAAATATTTTCTTCTTTTCTGGCCTTCTATTTTTCCATTTTTGTAGAAATTTTTGACAAAGATATAATCAATATTAATGTGATAGAATGTATTAATATTTATCCTGTGGTTTATTCTTTTTTCATCTTCTTTAAGATATCATTCCATATCCCAAAGACAAAGTATCTTATAATTTCTTCAAAAATTATACAATTTTTATTTTTTTACATTTGTGTCTTTAATTCACCTGGATTTTATTTGCTCATTTGCTTTCAATGTCATGCACATTTATTACATCTTTTTTAGAAGCTCTATTTTTTGTTGTTATTTTGTATGGGATAACTTTTCTGCCAAATATTCTAAATGAATATTGCTGGTGGGCAGAGCACTGATTAATTCTGTAATTTGACCTTGTGTGCAGTAACTTTGCAAAACTCTCTTATACTTTCTATCACTTTTTCTATTACATTGTATTTCCTGTGTTTATATTCATGTCTTACTTAAGAATACCTTCATCTCTTACTCTCTTACATTATGTATGTAATTATCATATTGCATTGTTTAGTACCACCATTATAATGTTGTAAAACAATATATCTCTGACTTTAATGCTAATTCCTGTAGTGCTTTATATAAATATTTGTTCATAGACTTTTGATAGGAGAAATTTCAGATCAGATAACTCCCTTTTATTTCTAATTTACTAACAGGTTTACTCCAAAGTGAGCATACAACTTAAATGCTTTTTCTGCATCTACTGAAATGGTTATAGGTTTCTTTCCTATAATCTAGTAATGTTGTAAATTATATTGATATAAACTCTGATGTAACTTTTTCACATTTGTGATTCATCTTACATAATTATAATATATATTTCATCTATATTGTGGCTTAAGTAAGCTAATATGTCATTAGGATTTTTGTATAAATGTTCAAAGTGAAATTGTTCAAATTTTCCTTATACTGTCATTTTCCAGGTTTGTTATTCATATTCTGCTATATATTTAATAATTCAGTTAGGCAAAATTTGCTATTTTCTTCTTTCATAAACAGTTATATCAACTGAGGACTATCTCTTGAAGGTTTGGTAAAACTCAGCTGTAAAATGACACAGGTCTGATACGTTTGATGGTGAAGCGCATGAGTATTTAGACTACTCACTTATTTAAACACACAGTGATGTATACAATTCTCCTATTTCATATGATTTAGAATGTCCAGTGCATCCTAGTTTTCCACTTGACTTTTACAGTTTTAGTGCTGAAAGCCCCACACCTGTGAACTCCCTCAGTCCCATGCAAATCAAATGGTGGGTCATCCTGAGTGGAGTCAATATTGGTCATTTGTATTGGTTAGAAAAAGTATCTAACTTGTAAAATTTACTGGAGTAAATATGCTCCCTATACTGTCTTATATAAACATCTTCTGCACTGTACATAGATCCCCATTTCTTTGTAGAATTTGGCAATTGCATTTAATCATTTATACTGGGGATCGGATGTTTTTGCAGTTTCTCAATTATTCTTGACAAAATCAGTCTTTAACTTATTGATGATTTATATTAATTTCTTTTTTTTTTAATATCTGAACCTTTTATTAGCCTCCTGCTCCCCAAAGGGTACCCTGCTTCCGCTGGCTTTATGCCTCAGAACTTCGATGTCGTTGGTCTCAGACACCACTTTGCCATCCACTATCTGGCAGGTGGTGGTCTTGTGGATGGTTTGCATGGAGTTGCTGCTGTCCGGGGCATCAGTAAGATTGAAGCCCTCACTGTCTTCCAGCAGGCGGCGGTAGATGGCGATCTCAGCCTCCAACTTGACCTTGATGTTCAGCAAGGCCTCGTACTCCTGGGCCTGGCACTGTCCCTTTGCCCAGGTCTGTGCCAGCGCTGCCTCCAGGTGCAGCAGGATCCCATTGAGCTGCTCCATCTGCAGGGCGTAGCGGGCCTCCACCTCCCTCAGGCTGGTTCTCCAAGCTGGCCTTCAGATTTCTCATGGAGTCCAGATCCATCTCCAAGGACTGGACTGTACGTCTCAGCTCCGTGAGTGTTGATTCAGCAGCTCCAACCTGGGTGGACTGCGTGGTGACCACTCTGGTGCTGTCCTCAATCTGCTGAGACCAGTACTTGTCCAGCTCCTCTTGGTTCTTCCCAGCCAGCTATTTATATTGGGGCCGGATATCTGCCATGATCTTGGCGAGGTCCTGAGATCTGGGGGCATCTATCTCCACAGTCAATCCACAGCTGGCAATCTGGGCTTGTAGGCCTTTTACTTCCTCTTCATGGTTCTTCTTCATGAAGAGCAGCTCCTTCTTGAGAGCCTTGATCTCTGTCTCCAGCTGCAGCCAAGTGACATTGGTGTCATCGATGACCTTGCAGAGCCCATGGATGTGGCTCTCCACAGACTGGCGCATGGCCAGCTCTGTCTCATACTTGACTCTAAAGTCGTCAGCAGTAAGATGGTCATTGTCGATCTGCAGAATGATGCAGGCATTATCCACACTATTTGCAAAGATCTGAGCCCTCAGGTCCTTGATGGTCTTGAAGTAATTGCTCCAGACTCTGACCTGGGGTCCCTTCCTCTCCATGTGCTCCGGGATTTTGCTCTCCAGCCTCTGGTTCTCAGTCTCCAGGCCCCTCACTCTGTCCAGGTAGGGGGCCAGGCAGTCGTTCAGGCTTTGCATGGTCTCCTTCTCATTCTGGATGCCTCCCATTCCTGCCAGATCCCCAGCCATCCCCATGGCCAAGCCCCTGGACCCCATGCAACCCCAGAAGCTGGTGGAGCGGGTCACAGAGATCTGGGAACCAGAGCCCCCGGCACCTGCATAGACGCTGGCCGCACTGCTGACCGGCTGGGCGCCTCGCTGGGCGCCTGGACAGAGCCCAGGGACTGGTATTTTGTGGAGAAGGTGGAGCCAGTGGTGAAGCTCAAGCTGTCTGGTGAAGAGAGCGAGAGGACAAGACTCAGGCTTTGCCGACGACCTTTCTGCCCTACTGTTTTCATTTCATTTCATCCACTTTCCCTGCACTTATTGTAGATATTATTTATACAGATAGATCCAACCAATTTAGCTATCACCTAGCTGGCAGGCAGACAATAAGCATACAGAGCATATGCTATTTGTCACATAAGTGGTATAAAGATTAGAAAAGTCTTATAGAATCAGGTGGAAGCACACTTAATAATTACAAAAGATATAAAATTAAATTAAGACAAAGAAATAATATTTAACCTGATTTAACTACTTCTTTAACCTTTCTTTTATAAAAATGAAGTTTATGTTTTTGCTTGGGCAACTCAGGTAAGTGTCCCAAATATGTTACCAATTAATTGCCCCTTTCTAAAGGCCTCAAAGTTAGAACTATGTTGCAGCATCAGACTTTGGTCAACAAAAGCTATTCAATGATCCTTAAATGAATGCAGTTCTTATTCAACGAGCCTGAAGTTTTACTTTGAATTACCCGCGTACTTTATCTTTATGATAAATTATCCTTTCTTGGTGTGCAGCTCTCCCTTTAATTGGTTAATTGGATTATAATCAGTAGACTGATTAATAGCACATCTTGGGAGACAGAAATACATGGCAACTTGGAAAAATATTTATTGTATCACACGAAGGACAAGTCAAATTAAAAACAAAAATATAATAGTACATATTTGTCAACAAATGTTTGGATATTCACTCATTTTGGTCACTTCAGCAGTGCTGGTTTTTCACGGACAGCTTACGTATTTGCTACTGTCTTTGAGGGCCTTGGTACTCACAGGAGAATGGAGAAGAGTTTGATTAAATGGGAGAAAGAGGTCGGTAAAGAAGCTCATTGCTCTGTTGTTTTCGATAAACTCTCCACCCCCTCATGCCACACACACAGAAAAAATCCCCAAAGATACGTGCGTTGTTTTTGTGCTGTTTACTTTTGTTTTGGTGCTTTTAGCAATGGCCGAGGGATAAGGCAGAAACAAGATTGTGTCAATGCATTTGTTAGAATTTTTTCTATATTTGCTACCCAGTATCCATTTACCATATTCTGAAAACAGCACAAAAGTTTTGCTGCAATAATACCATTCTTTCAACACTTTAATTCATAATATATGAGTTTATTGATTCTGTCATAGAACTATACATTTATTGAAAATTCTAATGCCTTCACCAATTAATTGGTTCAGAGATATACATCATCCAAATTGGCTCAGCTAGATATCAGGAAAATAAATTAACTTTTGGCTGAACTAGAACCTATCTTGAGTTTTGCAATATAATTTTTAACTTTAAAAGTTTCACAAAATTATACACCAGAAGAAAGGCCTTAATCAAGAATAAAATTTACTTTAGTGTAGGACAAAATTATTATCCTCATGTTCAAAATATATTTGTTAAGTTTGAGGGTTTTGGTTTATTAAATATAATAAAATTATTTCTACATGAAAATAAATAAGCAATAGACATAGGAAAACAGGAAAAGTCCTATCTCAATTCAAGGTTTTATTTACGTTTTAAAGTTGCTGATTTGACATTTGATTATTAGGTTCTAAAATAAAAAATGTCTATTTTTAATAATATAAGCTTCAGCCTTTATATATTTCAACATGCAGAAATTTTTCCTGAGCTGAAGAAAGGTTAAGTCACCATATGCAAGCAACCATTTGAAGCGCAAAGATAATTTACACAGAGACAAGGACATAAGCCTGACTTATTTCCTTTATCCCTGTGCAAATAAATGTAAGAAAGTGACAAAATATTCTTTTCTTATTTTCAAGCCCTGTGTGTTCACATGTACATTTGTATACTCTGTACCCTGCCCCAAACACATACACACACGCGGTTGTACACACTTGCACATATTTGCCCACAATATTTGCAGAAGTAATTGTCTTGGAAACAAGTTAATGACAGTATAATATACCAGCTGCTGGTTGAACAGCCAGAAATAATCCCAGGTGGATGACATAAACATTCAAAAGCAGATTGTATTTTCAACCTAAGTTAAATTGTTGCTCCAGAGAAATGAATTTTTTTGCCAATATTTAAGATGTTTCATCATGAGTTGAGTTTTTTTAGTGTATGTAAAAGGCACAGCTGGGTGCAGTGACTCATACCTGTAATCCCAACAGTTTGGGAGGCTGAGGCAGGATAATCGCTTGAGGCCAGGAGTTCCAGACCAGCCAGGTCAATATAGTATGACCCTATCGTAAAAATAAAAAATAAAAAGTTAGCCAGGCATGGTGGTGCATGTCTGTAGTCCTAGCTAATCAGGGTGCTGAGGTGGGAGGATTACTCGAGGCCAGGAGTTCAAGACATAGCCCGGGCAACACAGAACCTGTCTCTATAAAATCAAAAATAAAAAAAGTTAGCCAGGTGTAGTGGCACACACCTGTAGTCCTAGCTACTTAGGATCGCTTAAGCCCAGGAGTATGAGGCTAGAGTGAGCTATGATCACACCATTGCATTACAGCCTGGGTGACAGAGCAAGAAACCCATGTCAAAAAAAAAAAAAAGAAAGACAACATATATAAACATAGAATCCCTGGAACCAACATTTAAACATTTTTGCATTTGAGCAATCAACAGGGCTTTCTTGATAGCTAAGAAACATCTAGAGTCAGTATGGTGACTTTAGGCTTCACTTCAAGAGGATGCTTATCTGATTCCAGGAGGTACAGTTTGTTAAGAGCCATGAGTTTAAGTAATAACTGAGGTCATCTTTTCTGTTTCATCTCACCAGGCAGCTCTAACTCTAATTTCTCTCTCTCTCTTTCTTTCTCTCTCTCTCTCTCTCTCTCTCCTCTTTCTCCCTACCTTCCTCTTTTCTTCTATTTGTCATATATACCCGTGCACTTGAATAACCTTCACTCTGTGTCTCTTGCAGCCATGAAACGTAGAAGGTTAGGCACACCAGCCAACAAATTGGGAAGGGAATTTCTATTTGCCATCACTGTTTGCTCACAAATCTCTTTTGGAACACCAAAAACAAATGATAGTTATGGTTTACATAAAGTTTTTATGTTCCTAGCCTCCATAGCCATCAAACTCCACAAAACACCACAAAGACCACTAATTGAAAGTGTCTGAAGGATGACATTACTACTTGAAAAATGAATAGGAGAGTTACAAGGAGAAAGTTTGTTTCCCAATCTTGGGTAAATTTAGTCCCAAATAAAATTCTAATTGCAGGCAGATGTCCCAGAAAATACCAGTCTATACTGTCAGAAATTCCTATCTGCTATGATCTCAAAAAATACTTCAGAAATATTACTCATACGGCTTGAGATAAGCACTTCTTTGGAGCACCATCAGCTAGCAAATCATAAATAAGATACTAAATGAAGCTCTCAGTCAAGGAATCACAGGTTTCATAAGTGATATTTCAGCAAACACAGGATATGCATCAAAGTGTGATACCTATCTCAAGCTTCAGGGGTATGTATTAAAAACCATTTAAAATTATGTTCCTGATATTCCCTTCTGAATTTACTTTCCAAAGTATCAATGTTTGAGAGTATTTCCCAAGATTAAATTAATTCTCCAATGGTATTAAAGGGGGAATATCGTGTAAGGTCTACCTCATAGAAATTCAAACTTTGAAAGATTCTACAGAGTAGGGAAGTTATGAAATATTTGATGTGAAAATGGTTTTAAACAACTCAGCATGAAATTGACTTATAAGGTCTTTTTGGTCTTGGTAACTGTGAATTTGCTCACAAAGTCATCTTCCTAAAGTGCCAAACCCTTCTTCTACTCCGTATACCCCCTGCCCTGAGATAAAGAAAAATGAACACTAAACAACCACCCACCCAGTTTAATAATATTTTATCCAAGCAACTTTGTTTATCCAGTTATAATTGACCATTTCACACTTCAGTGTGTTTCACCTGAAGCTGAGAGTATTCAACAATAAAATGCAGTAAACAGTCCTGTAGGAAATGTTTCTAGAATCAAATCTGGTGACAACATGAACATTGCATGGGTATTAATGCAGAGTTTTTCATTTGCACACTGGTACGGTCCATAACGTTTCTACTGCAGGCACTTAGGCTACTAAGAATTACACATTTCCCCTACCCCCTACATTGCTACACTACAGAAATCAGTCCCTCACCGTCTTTTCTGCATTAATTTCCCGCTCCTAGTAAATAGAAAAAGTCTCCTGGTGGGTGAGTAGGAAAACTTAAAAATGAGTTTACATCTCTAGAAAAGAGCTCTGAACTTGTAGCCATCAACAGCATCTACCCAAGCCCAAGCCTAGGGAAAACATCTGCAGCCTTCTTACTATAGGAGTGATCAAGAGCTTTTCAGGGCCTGGGCCCAGATTTGGAGAAGGTTGTGTTAACTTGCCATAGAAGGGCAGGAAATTAAGGTGATCATCTTGACTTTAGAAGAGGAGGCATTCTGGGGACATGTCAGGGCAAGGAAGGAGAAGGAAATCAGAATGAATCCCAGCATAAACATCCTCCGACCAAAAATAAAATAAAAAAAATAAATGCCCCCAAAGAAACTGTCAACTGACTTTCTTTAAAAAATTATATTCACTTATAATTAAATAATTAAGTGCCAAAAATACATAAAGAGTTGTTTCAAACAAGGGAATGTGAAGGGAAGGAAGATTTGTCTTTACTAACTAATAGATAAGAGATCCTCAAAAGAAGCTGCTTAAAACAATTAAGCAGGGAAGGATTTTTAATAGGGTTTCAAGCCACGGAAACACCCTGAGGACAAGCAGCAGAGGCTCTGGGAATGGAAGCCACAATGATCCAAGAACGTGGCATTAAACTTTTCAGTAAAACAGGATTCTGGATGCCATAAGAATAAACAAAATGACATTTCTGCTGTTTCCTTAAGGAGGCTATTCCTCAAAGACTTAACACTAACAAGTCCAAGTAGAATTTTCCAGCTGGTATGAATGGATCATGGGGAAGCTGTTATGAGAGCAGGGAAATTCCAGATAGGTCAGGAAAACAAATTGTATAACAAGATATAGAGCTTAAAGAAAAAATATGCCATGACTGTATTCACTCTCTATCACCTCCCATTACCTCCCTGACAGGCAATCACCACTGGAATTTAATATTCTGGAATTCCTGTACATTTAGCCAGAGTATGAACTTTCACTAAAAAAAAAAAGGAAAAAGAAAAAAAGCATGCGAGACAGCCAGGTGGGAGCGGATCCCCAGAAAAACTCCAACCGGCCTGCACACTGGGGTGGAACCTCAGGAAGTTCATGCTGTTTGCAGCGGGGAGGAGCCTGGCCTCTCTTCTTTCTGTGTGGAACCTGGAATTCAAGCTGTGGGTGAGAAGCTCTCTAGCAGGGACTCTGACCTTATGGAGGATCGCTGTTTCCCCCATTTTTCCTTTTCACCCAAAAAAGTCCTGCTTCTCTCACCCTTCAAACAGCCTGTGAGCCTAAATTTTTGTGGCCATGGGACAGACAAGGACCCCGTCTTCAGCTGAACTAAGGAAAAGTCCTGCGACATCTTTGGTACGCACTGTGGAGGCTCTACAAACAGTGAGTGAAATGCATGCCAATAATTCTTTCCCTTCCCTCTCTCTCCTGAGCCCTCTCATCCTCCGGCTTCTGAGGGTAGAGGAAACCATGCCACCACCCCCTATTACTCCTAGGGTTAGGGGCCTTTTCACAGCCTTTTCTCCCTTTTTTGGAAGGAACGGGTGAGCAGCGGCTCCCCACCGCCCTCCCTTCCCTGCCGGGGCTGGGATACCTGGCTCAAGGCGTCATGAGTGGCTGGCGTTTTCTGCCACGCACTCATGGGATCTCCTCCTCCCTGCACCGGGGAGGCCAGCTCTGACCCACAGCAATTAAACTTGTCTCCCTGGTGGAGGAACCACTTGGGTAAGAGTAAGAGGTTCTTCCCCAGGCATTTTTAAACCCCTTTTTTTTTCTCCTCTTCACACCCAGTCAGCAGTGAACTTAGTCTCTGTAAAGCTTCAATTGTGGAAAAGGATTTGTAGGGCTAGTCTTGGGCCGTGGCCAATCCTGGTGTGCTTTGCATGTCTGTATGGTGTGTGCTGCAAGCCTCCATCTTGTTTTACATCCTGGGGGCGTGACCAGTAACTGCTTGGCAAGGTTTGTTGAGCAATCCTGCCTCAGAGGATGAGCCCTCTCTGGTTTGATATCTGCATGTTTTCCTAGCCCTGTCTCTTAAAGGGCCTCACCCAGCAACTGGATTTTCTAATGCCTGTGTGTGTGTGTGTATACTGTGTGTGCTGTCTTTAAAAAGATCTCTAATTAATTTGTCCTAAAGAAGACAAGCACTTGGATCAAGTATTTTTTAAGGGAAGTTAAAAGCTGTGGTACCTTTCAGTTCGCATGACTTTAATCTTTGAGAAATCAAAACAGCCCCTAAAGATTATTGGTAAAATGTAGGTAAGATGCAAGGTTTGCTAAGTGTTTCAAGGTTACAAACTGCTTTTTGGGTTTTGAAAACTGTCTGTCTCCTCTGCTTCACGGCTGGTAGGGCCTGGGGACATATGGAACTAATCACCTCCTTAACTAAGAAGGCAAACCTTGGCTACAGTTAGCACACAATTAAAACAATTTACCAGGTTTTAAATTATTGTTAAAAATTACTAGGAGTTACCATTATAACATGTAATTGAGACTACTGGAAATAGATTTGCATGCAAGGAGTGTAAGAACAGTGAAGTATGTTTTTTAGTAAAAGGTTATAAGAAGGCATGAAAATGTAAATTTTTGCCTAGGGTTAAAGGATTGTTTTGAATTAAATTATTAAAAAGCTGAGGGTTCAAAGAAGTGATGGAAGAATTGTGAAAATTAACCTTGCCGAAGAGGTTCTCTGTGTGAACATATTGACTAAATTCAAAAAACCGTATTATATGGTTTTTCTGTAAATTGAGCATTGAAATAAAAGCCTAACAAAGGTTTCCTATGGCATTAGCTGCTCTTTGGCAAAATCTGTAAAGGGTTATAAAAGGTTTTTGCTTCTTTACGTTTTCTGAGTCATCATTTTTGCAAAACAAATAATTTGTGGTAATCTGGAATTCTGTTTCATAATATCAAGTGTTTTAAACCTTGAACATTTAACAGCCTTCCCAAAATCAAACTTGAGCTTCAAAATTGTCTTCCCCGGCACCTGGCTTTTTGAGTAGTTTGACAGGGCCCCTGAAGTGTCCAGAGAAGAGAGGTAAACAGAATTATTTGACATGTTTAGGTACATGGGATTGCCAAAATGATGTTCAGTCTTCTTTAGGTTATATCTTGGTAAATAATGCTAATATATGTTCCAACATTGTATGAGATTTCTAAAATTCTAATGTCTAAGTATATGCTACCAATCATAATTAAGGTTAAGTTATTGCAAACCACAGAGATACCCAAACATTTTTGTCAGTTGTGTTTCTAACTGTCACTACCCTGGGCATTTTGCTATTCACAGACAATTGTTGTCTTGCTTTAATCCTTTTCAAAAGATGGTTTATAATAAGCTATAGAACTTTAGGTGGTGCTCTCAAATACAGGCTTCTGAAAGCTTTTGAGATTGTAACATTGAAATAAAGGAAAATTTATGGGGCTCATAAAGAGCTGAAATATTCACAAATACCAAGCAAAACGAGTTAACTAGATGGACTGAACTCAGGAAGCTGAAGCAAATCTTTTTGACTTTTGCTTGGAATATTGCTGATCCTTGTTTTGTTTTTCACAGTCAAGGAAACTTATTTTGAACTATTTACAGTCATTAATAAGGAAAGTATACACTCCTGTGATCAAAATTTGTAGCATGTTTGTTTCTCTCTGCCTGGTTCCTCTAGAATTTGGAAACTACCTGTGAGTATTCTTATGGCAATATAGTTGTTTGCATCAGTGCAATAAGAATCCATTTTTCTTTTGCAACAGAAAACAATTGGAAAAACTGGTTATTTTACCAAGGCTTTGACTGGAAGGGCATACTTCCCTTTACGGAGTCAATCTTGACTTGCAGAGCCAATAAAAGCCCCATGCGGAAGCTGTCCTCATACTCAGTCCCTGTATAGGGTTCCTGACCTGTGATCAGTAAAGAGTGTCACTTTCTAACAGGTCCAGGAGCTCCAAGTTTATCTTGGGACCGTAAGAGGAGAGGATGACCCAACTCACATGTATTTGAGAATAAACCCATGGCTAGGATGGCTTTAAAAGGTCTTATCTGAGATCCCTTGAGGAACAGAGTTCCATCAAAGCCAATCTAAAAGGCCTGTGTAGAAATAATTATTATGCAAATAATCAGGCCAAGTATAAGGCTAAAGTCTATTTTGCAAAACACTCGGTCTTATCATGGTTTTTTTTTCTTAACAAAAGTGAGGACTGGAGAGAAATTATGTTTCAAAAGTTATACATTTGTCATTAAATTCTAAACTCACTAGTTGTTTTTAAGTTTTTGCCTACATTTTTAGACTAACCCTGCTTATTCCTGTGAACCAACCAGCAATCCCCAGCTGCAGCTCAGAAAGAACAAGAGGGGTGTTATCTGGTAATGTAGAAATCTGGATCAATATTCTAGTTCTGAGCAATTATCCTGCAAATCCTGCCAGGTGATGGGAATAAATAGAATGTCCATCACTAGCAAGTTTCCTTTTTGGGAGAGTAAGACCAAGAGCCCTAACCAAAGCCAAGCACCACGCACCGAAACCCTAGCAGGCATAACCATAGCCACCAGTTATCTGGGTGTGTCACAAGACATCCTTTTCTCTCCCTTGTTGGAAGAGGACTCACTTCCACAGCTTTACCTTAGCATTCAGCTTATCATAAGGAGTCCATGCAATCCCAAGCTTTGGGTCAAACTGGATCTGAGGGATCCGGAGGCAGACAATAATGGAAGTTAAAAGGCACAGCACAAGTGAGTGTAGCTGATTCCTGCCCATTAAGCCAACCCAGGCTTCTTGTTTCATGGATAAAGGCCACGTTAATATCCATGGCATGAAAGAGGTCTAGGGAACTCCAAGGCTACTTACAGTAGGGGTGATAGAGGTATAGGTGAAAGCAGATAATTCCTATTCTCTAGGCCCCCCAGCTTCATGGGTGCAAGCCGCTTTGGTACTCATGGTGGCACTTGCCAAGTTCTCCAGAACTTGGGGATGCAAGGACAGCAGATGGAAAAAGGACGCTCTTCCATCACTCCCTGAAGTACCCCGGGTATCTGTTAGGAAGTGAAGGGAACCATGGATGCCTGCTCACCTTTCTAGATGGGTAGCCATTCATCTTCACTCTGTACCCCTTTCAAATGCATCCTGAATCCCTGGGACTCCTTTAAAAAATGCCTTCTCTTTTCCTTTCCCCTTCTCTGTCTTTTCTTCACAGATAGGTAATTGTGTCCCTGTACTATGGGACACTCATCTCAGATGCATCCTCCAAACTGGAAAGAGTTAATTTCCCAAACCTTGAACTGGTTGGCTTGAGATTAGGCTCAGGGGAAGGGAACACAGAAGCCCAGTGTGCCGGCAAAAGGGTGAAGTTTTTTTTTACCGGTCAAGCTTTTGGCCTCCTTCTCCCTTTGCAAACTGGTAAAAGGCCTCGGGATTTTTGAGCTCTCCTTACCCCTCCCCTTGTTTCATTCTGATACATGTTTTCTAATAACCTGGTTCGTCTGTTCTTGCCTTCAGGCCATCAAACTCCAACCAGTCACCCAACCAGAGCCTCTGAGGATGGCCCCTTCTGCGGGGAACCCTTACATGGGCCTCTGACTGATGCTTCCCCAAAACAGTGCCCCCTGTCATCAGGAAGCAGTTAACACTGGTCTTCATTCTTACGCTTATCCTTATTCTAACAGCAGTTATATGTACTTCTTTAGACGGGGGAATAAGACAGCCAGGTGGGAGGGGGTCTCTGGAAAACTCCATCTGGCCTGTGCACTAGGGTGGAACCTCAGGAAGTTGATGACATTTGTAGCTGGGAGCAGCCTGGCCCCTCCTCTTCCTGTGTGGAACCTGAAATTCCACCGGCTTGGCAGGAAGCGCTCTAGCAGGGACTCCGGCTTTGCAGAGCATCCCTGTTTCCCCGTTTTTCCCTTTTCACCCAATAAAACCCTGCTTCACTCACCCTTCAAACCATCTGCAAGCCTAAATTTTTGTGGCTGTGGGACGGACAAAGATGCCTTTAGCTGACTGAGGAAAAGTCCTGCAACACAGGTATCACTGCACATTTATAATATTGTTTCTCTGTTTTAAACCTTGTATAAATAGGAAAATATTGTATATAATCTCAAGCAGATTGTTTTCTTTTGAAAAGTATTCATATATGTTAAAGATGTAGTTCTAGTTCATTCATTTTCTCTGTTTTGACTCTTTTATACATATACTACAGCTCATTTATCCATTTTCCTACTGTTGCAACATAGATTGCTTATAATTCTTCTAATTACTAACAATGCTGGTATGAAATTGTTGTGTATATCTCTGGTAGATATGTGTTATTTCTTTTTTGCAATGCTAGATTATAATTATTTGTCTAAGGTGGAGATTACCAGGGTAGACTCGCTCTGGCCGTATGTAATGATGTCTGTGGCTACATAACCTGCCAACACTTAGTCTTATCACACATTTTATTTTAAAATCAATATGTAAAAAATACTAATTTACTTGGTAGTAATTTAAATTTTTCTGATTATTACTGAGGTTGAATATGTTTTCATATGTTTACTGAATATTCCTGTTAATTTTCTCATGAATTTCAGTTAATGTTTCTGTTGATTTTATTAATTTGTAGTGGTTTTGAAACATATTCTAGAAACCAATATTTTGTCTGTTGTATGTGTTACAAATATATTTATTTTGTATAGCTTCTTCATATTTAGTACTTTTACAATTTTAACAGTAAAATTAGTTTCATGTTTTATAGCTATAATTATTATAACTTTTAAATAAATATTTCCTCAATTAAAATAAAAATGCATTATCCTTAATTTTCTTCGAAGATTTTTGAAATGTGTATGACTTTTTCATTCTTGTGCTGGATTTCTACCTGAAAAATATTTCTCCCTTCTGAGGTTCAGTACCTGTTTTTTGATGTAATGGTATGAAAAAAGGCATACTCACTGCGTTAGCTAGAGCTAAATATTTACTGACTAATAGTGGTCTCTTTCCTGCTACACACACACACACACACACACACACACACACACACACACACCCCATCATCCTGGTAACTTCCTGAGAGTCTCTTTCTTGTTCATTTCTCCTTCCATACAGGAAGGGGAGGGGTTTGAATCTAGAATGCTGATCTATTTTTAACAAATAGCCCTAACTCCTTCCTCTCCCATACTTTAAAGCTGAGAGTTAGGAGAAGCATCTTTAGCTTCCTTTAAGAAAACAACTTATGATTTCAAATTTACATTGTTCTAAAGTCTCCCAATTTTCATCCAACTCCTCCCTTTGAAAGAAAACCAGCTTTATCTTCAAGATGAAATCTAAACCCCACCAGAGTCAACAGTACTGTTTTCTGTTTGTAATTTTTTACCTCAAATTGATTCAGAAATGTAATGGAAGTTCCAACATAGTCTTAAAGGTAGAAGGAATGGGGAAGACATGTCTACATAATTCTAAATTTCTGGACAAAGAAGGACTTAAAGATAATTAACACACTTTGGAAAATAAAAGCAATAATAAATTTCTAATACCAGATATTGAATATTTTATTAAGCAGCAATTATCAATACTGTAGAAATGCTGCACAGACAAAAATAAAATAGAAAAAAAATCCCAGAAACAAACACAAGTGTATAATCAAATAAGATTTTAGAATAGTGAGAGGTAACCTCTTATAAATATTGTAATAAAAACAATAGTTATAATGATATTGAAAAAATATTCCCTAGCTAATGGCAGTCAAATTATTTCCAACGAAATAACAGCATTAAGAATAGTGAATCACAGGATGGGTGTGGTGGCTCATGTCTATAATCCCAGCATTTTGGGAGGCCCAGGCAGATGGATCACTGGAACTCAGGAGTTCAAGACCAGGCTGGGCAACATCGTGAAACCCTGTCTCTACAAAAAATAGCTAAATTAGGCAAGCGTGGTAGTGTGCACCTGGAGTCCCAGCTACCCAGAAGGCTGAAGCGTAAGGATCACTTGAGCCTGGAAGGCAGAGGTTGCGGTTAGCCAAGATCCCGCCACTGCACTCCAGGCTGGGCCACAGAGCCAGACCCTGTCTCAAAAAAATAAAAATAAAAATAAAAATGACTAGTGAATCAATTATATTACTCAAATATAATTATAAATTTTTAAAGCTATTTGAATTGAATAAATTTTAAAGAAGAAATGCAAAGGGAACAGAGTACAAAATTATTTATTTAAATATATAAAATTTGTAAGTATGTGAAAAAAGAATCAATTAAATAGCAATAGAATAAGTAGAAAAATAATTTGCAAAATTTATTGTAAAAGTGAAATATTTTATGTAGCCTATATTATGTAAAATTGTTATTACCAATAAAAATAAAATATAGATCATAAACAGACAATACATAAAATAACATATAATACCTATTTCATATTTCATATGTACCGCATATAATACAATATATCATAAGCATTAAATACATATATCACTTTATGATATATAAATATGCTATGCACCATTATACAATGGATTATGCAAAAGCATCCCATTTTATTATAAAATATACTGTTATGAAGATACAGATGCTCCTTGACTTTGATGGGGTTACTCTTCCATAATCCCACTGGAAGTTGAAAATATCCTAAATCAAATGTACACTTTTTTACTTATAGCGTTTTCAACTTATCATGGGTTTATCCTGACATAACCCCGTCATAAGTTGAGGAGCATCTCAATGCATATCACTTTTGCACCTTTGTAAAACTGAAAACTTGTAAGTCAAACTATTGTTAAATCAGGTTTCTCTGTATATAAAACATTATAAAATATTACTTATTAAAATTGTAACATTTTAAAATATGTGGTGTTTTTTCAAATTAGTATGAAAATGATGTAGCATCTTCAAGGCTCATTTAGGAAAGACCATGAAGAATAAACTAATTATCCACATTCTTTAGCCATAATGGAAAGTATTAACACTCTAAATCTTTAGATATTTTACAAAGAGAATATACGATTATAAAATGGCTATAATAAAATGGTACCACTATACTTTAGTGGTGGTTTAAATTTATACACTCTATAATATTTAATTAAAATCCCTTAATTGCACATGTTTCATATAAGAATGTATCAAATAAAAATCATGAGATGTCCCCAGGGATATCTGATTGAAAGTTTTCATTAGAGTGCTATATAAATAAGTAAATATTGCAAACCAACTAAAATGATGATAGATGAAAGAAGGTCTACACATTGGAATACAAGGCAATGAAATTTTGATGTCATTGATATCAATGATGATATAATAAGTAGAAAGCAAATCAATACACACACACACAAGTTTTGGAGACATGTTTTACTAGTTTATCCATAGATATAGAACTGTGATTTTTCTCTTTTTTAACTTTTCAGTGTTAATACATTCTAGGATTTCCAAATTTGTGATGTTTGTATAGTGATTTTACAATAAGAAAAAATTACAAACTCCCAACTTTTAAGAGGTAAAAAAGCTTGTTATGGTTGTGGAAAAAAGGGTTAGCGTGGAAGGCCTATGTGATATTGTGAAGCATAGATTTGGTCTTTATCCAGTTTCCTGACATATAGCTCCTAAAACCCTTGGAATCTCTTGAGTGATGTCTTTTGTATGCTGATGAGATGACTGATGGTAGGAGAGGCTAGATAGCTTGGGATGGGGGCTGGTCACCAGAAAGACCAAGGCATAATTGGAGAGTTGGGATATTCATTTCCATCCCCAGCCTTGGGGACAGAAAGGAACTGAAGGTTAAGCTGATCACCAATGGCCAATGATTTAATCAATCATGCCCATATAATTAAGCTTCCATAAAAACCTGATAGGACTGGGTCCAATGAGCTTCCAAATAGCTGAACTCATGGAGCTTCCTGGAGGGTGGCCTGCCCAGAAAGGGCATGGCAGCTCTTCCCACACACCTGCCTTCTGCAACTCTGCTCTCTGGCCATTCATCCACACTCTTTGTAATATCCTTTATAATCAACCAATACACAAAAGTGTTTTCATGAGTTCTGTGAGCAGCTCTAGCAAATGAATCAAACCCAAGGAGGAAGTTGTGGGAACCCTGATTTATAGCCAGTTGGTCAGAAGTTTGTGGTGGCCCAGACTTGCAACTGCGGTCTAAAGTGGGGGACTGTATTGTGAGACTAAGCCTTCATCATATAGAGAGCGTCACAATTGATTTAAATTAAAAGACATCTGGCTGGTATCCACTGCAGAATTGATTGGTTGGTGTGTGGGGAAACATGCCTCACATATCTGGTCTGGTATCGTCTGATACCAGATATGTGACCGCATGAGAGTAGAGAGTAGAAAAAACACTTTTAGGGTATTTTTATAGCTCTAACAGCCTAATCTATTTCCTCTCTCTACAGGAGGTGCCTGGGAAAGACAGAAAAAGATGATTTGTTCAAAAACTCTTGCAAAATTGCTAATGGCAATACAGTAACAATATGTGGTAGTAATAGAATCCTTACATATGAAATGCTTCTAGCCGGTTGTACCTGGTCTACACAGGCTAATGAAATGTTAATAGGAAATAATCCTTAACAAAAGGGTTACCTTTGTGCAAGTAATGTCCTGATGCATGTATTAGCCCCTTACATGTTAATTTTGAAATAAAAAATGTGTTAATAGAAGAAGAAAGGGCACCTGCATTGTTGGTCAAATTTCTCTATTTTTTTTTCTGTTTGTTATAATTACCAGTATCCTTCACATTATCCGTAAAATTTGGTATTAGTTAGATCTATGATTCCTGTGACTCTGATTTGATTTGATAATTTGTATTGTCTAATAGTAACGTTTTTAAAGCAGGCAAAGGTAAGGCATAAACTGGAGTTTTTTACGCAGTAATGATTTGGAAACACAAGATAATGCTTTGCACATAAGTAGAATGAAAATATATTTTCATTAATTTACTACAGCACTGTGGTTCCCCAAAGAATCCACTTCAATTTTGTGCTGTTTCTCATAGAATCCCTTTCTGTTTTTCTTTCTGTCATACTTGAGTCCATTTTATATAAAATTAGCTTAGCGAGAAGAGAGGGCAATTATCCAGTCCCAAAGTACACTAGACAGAGACGTTTGCTTTTCTTCATATGGGAGAGATGCATGAAGGAGGCACCTGCTATTGTCCACCTGTGGTCCATTTACATCTTCGTGAAGAACAATAAGGAAGAGAAGCACTTATAGAATGTGCAACATGCAATGCAACCCTTCAAACAGTTACACAGAGTTAGAAATGTTAGGGCGTGATTTATTCCTCAGACAGCATAAGATATATATTCAGAGAGATTTAGCCCGGCTAGCAGTTCTTCTAAGTCCTAGATAAAGAGACAGTAATGAGCTTCAGCCAAAGAATAATCTTTTTTCTCTAAAGCACTACCATTTATCAAGGCAGCTACGGGGTATTTAAAATAATTTTGTTAAAGAAATAGGTTCCAAATATATATCCTTGGGAAGCTATCCCCATTATTCACATTAATATATACATACACATTTTAAATAATTTTTTATCAGATAATTATATGCACATTGACTCATAGATGCACACACACAAATTTAATAGAGAAGATAATGTCTGTTTGTAAAATATGAGTTTATAGTTCCTCAGGCATAAGTTTTACTATTTCCTTTTGTGTGATAGTAGATTCCCTTTATCTCTTGGCCCAAGTGTAAAAGAGAGATGATACAGTTTCCTGTTTCTTTTGGCTTCAAATGGCTGTCTAAAATGCTTTACCCATTAGACACAGTAATCAATACACACACAAATCCGTAAATCTCTGTACATGGCATTTTCCTAATGCCACCTCTTCCCATCTTTGTATCTAGGAGACAATTTTACTTTTAATAAGCATTTATTGAACATATATCATGTGCCAGGTACTATGAAAGGCATTTGAATATTACATTTATTCAGAGATTGTATTTATTCACATTGCATGTATGACTAAAGTTGTTAAATGTTAAGATGTTTTAAGGAAATCAGAGAGTTTTCTCCACCTCAAGTTTGAGAATATGAAATGCTTCACAAGTGTAACTAAAGGAAAACATTGTAGAGATTCATTTTTTGCACATGGTTTAAAGTATCTACTCTTAAAAGTTGTAGAATTGACATATTTATTACAAAGTATAGGCTTCATTGTGTTGAAATGCCAAGAGATGATGATTCTAGCAACGAATTGCTTCAAGTAAATTTTACTCATGGCATTGTTTTAAAAAATAGAAGATTAAATTTAAGAAACAGTTTCTTAACTCAAAAAATAAATCGTTCATTTCCTATTAAATGATAAGGATCAAGCTTTCAATTTGATGTTAAAAGAGCTTCTGTGTAGATGCTGGTTTTAGAATTTTTATCATTTTTGACTACATATTATTAAACACAGAAACGGGAGAAATTTTGCAGTTGGTATAGTAGGGAATAATTGGGAAAAATTATTTTAACACAATATTTTAAACATTTGGCCTCCTTTGAGAACAGTGATGCAAAAATATTTTCTGTATATTCTAATACAAGCAAATTTTAATCTCTTCATTGGGTATTTTGAGTATTTAACATATTTAATTTACATCTGTTTTTTTATGCCTGTTTGGTAGATTCTGAAATCTTTTCCTCCACCTCTGCGGACCTGAAATGAATCTGAATCCTTTATCTGGGCACTGAGTGCTATGGTTGAGTGGTTTAATCTCTGTCCCTGGGAGCACAACCAAATTCATCTCCAATGAAATCTTGACTCCTCTGTGACTTAGCTTTGCATCTGGGTTTCCGTCTGTCACACATTTCACTGGGTTGTCTTTATTCTTTCCTGGTAGGCTGTTTAAGAAGAATTATTTTTTTAAAAAAAAAAGAGTGGACCCCGCCCATGTGCAGCTACTGCAATCATAATAGGGTGACCCAAGATTTCAGGGATCCCCATTGCTGGGTGAATAAAATAGGATACATGAGAAATATTATAACTTTATCAGTGAGTTGATCTGTGTTGAGTATTTTGGAACCTTTTAAAAAGATTTTTTTTCCACTAGATAGATTAAGCCTGACTTTCAAGTTTAATGCATTCCTTTAATTCTCATATGCCTGAAACTGTCTCAGTAAGGCTCCAATGAGAAATCTCTCCTTTCTTACTTATTTTAAAATTCTGACGATAAAGTAACACAGGCCTCTAAGATTATCACAATCAATAAATGGATCTTTTATATCACTCAACAGAATTATGTGGTGATATGGTCTTGCTACCATAAATTTTCATATCATTGTTCATTTTAAAAAAATAATAATAAACCAGGAATTAGAATATCATTGATGCTATTATTTATAATGTGAAGCCCAAGAGGAACATACTTAATTTAATGTTATGTTCACTACAATGACAAAATGTTACGTTTGATTTAATATGCAGTTTGTGTGATGCCAAAATAAGCTGTGAATTATGCAAAAAGAAATCGATTTGTTGTTTGTGTTGTAAATTTTTGGAAAACTAGGCAGGTCATCACAAATTTTTTTTCTAGATAATAACATCAGTGGATATTTCTATCTGTTCATTGCAAACACAAACATCTATATAATTTTTATCTACCCGGTTATGGCTCTTTATATATATATATATATATATATATATAAGCATTTTTATTTGTTAGTTTGAGAATGTTGGGTATCAATAATTTGTCTTAATTTGCACAAATGTCAGAAAATATACAAGAGAAATTCAAGGGAAATTGAGAAAGGCAAAGGGATCATAGTCTGTTGTGGGTGCATGAGGAATAGGAAGTATTCATATCTGCCACACTCTTTTTTTGGGAGAGTGTAAGTATCATTTCACAATTTTACAACATCTTATAGCTCTCTCCTAAGTTCTCTCTCTCAATCTGTCTCTCTCTCTCCTCCTTCTTCTTCTTCTTCACTGTCTCTCTCTGGCTTTGAGTGTGCCTTTTTGTACTGTGTATTCTTACTATTTTATAGAATTCACAGAGAGAAGAATACGGAAGTTATGGTAAGATGTGGGAGCAAAAACCAACATATTAAACGATAATTTATCTAAAGAAAGTAGCTGGAGAGGTCTTTTAAACTAAAAAACTAAAAATCAGCTTAAGAGGTTTGCCACTTCCTTCAGTAAGCATTGGGATTTAGTGAAGATTTGCATACAAGGAAGTAATCCTGATCCCTCTGGTATTATGGAGACTACCAGAAGGTAGAAGACCCTATTGGAGCAATGGATACAAAGCAGGTAACTATGTAGAGATGTGGCCTCCTTGATCCACCCTAAAGCTTGGCCAACTCTTCCCTCCAGGATTCCAAAACCTCCCCACAGATGCCTGAACTAAGGAAGTGGACAGCCTTAGGAGACAAGCATTTGCTGGAAGAGACGTTTCTCTTAATTTACATGAGACTATCTTCTGGGTAAGAAAATGGGCATGATGTGGTGAAGCAGCCCTGCCTTGGGAGACCAGGATACTGAAAACCTTCAACATTCCCTAACAGTGCGGCCATGGGAAAGTCTCCCAGAATCTTGAGATTCCAACTCTTCACTTGGTAAAAGTGATCGCTAGGAATGGAAAGAAATCAAAATATTTCTCCCCAACATATTGAGGGCTGTTAAAGACACAGAAAATATAGGGGGACACTGTTTCAGCCTCTATTTGCCTGATGACAGGACACCAATCCTTCCTTACTGGAGACGGCACTTGTTTATTGACCCAAAAAAGGTACCAGCAGGCACTGGAGGAATCTGAGAACAGATTTTACTAACTTCCCACATTTTACTATCTTTTAAAACACTCGAACTGCTCTCTCCTTTGTCTTGTTGCTATATAGGATTTTATGGCTCTCTGTTTAAATACTATTGGTGCAGGCCGGGCGCAGTGGCTCACGCCTGTAATCCCAGCACTTTGGGAGGCCAAAGAGGGCAGATCACAAGGACAAGAGTTCGAGACCAGCCTGGCCAATATGGTGAAATCCCGTTTCTACTAAAAATACAAAAGTTAGCCGGGTGTAGTGGCGGGCGCCTGTAGTCCCAGCTACTGGGGAGGCTGAGGCAGGAGAATTATTTGAACTTGGGAGGCAGAGGTTGCAGTGAGCCGAGATCACGCTAGTGCACTCCAGCTCGGGAAACAGAGCGAGACTCCGTCTCAAAAAAAAAAAAAAAAAAGGAATTCAGTGTTGTCTTTACTTCAATATTTTCTCCAAGAATTCTATAGTTTTAGCTCTTACATTTAGCTTTTTGATCAATTTGGGTTAAGGTTTGTATATGTTATGAGACAGGGGTCCAGATTCATTACTTGCATATGGTTATCTGGTTGTTCCAGCATCATTTGCTAAAAATGAATAGAAAAAAAAACTATTTGAGCAAAGCCCTTAAGCCACTGACTTGAAAGAGAAACAATTTTTGAGCTGAGGTCTCTCTCTCCTGCATGATGGGTGGTACAACATGGGTTAATAAATGTCTGCTCGTTTTGTTTTGTTTTGTTTGAGACGGAGTTTTGCTCTTGTTGCCCAGGCTGGCGTGCAATGGCTCCATCTCAGCTCACCGCAACCTCCACCTCCCAGGTTCAAGTGATTCTCCTGCCTCAGCCTCCCGAGTAGCTGCGATTACAGGCACCCACCACTACGCCCGGCTAATTTTGTATTTTTAGTAGAGGCGGGATTTCACCACACTGGCCAGGCTGGTCTCAAACTCCCAACCTCAGGTGATCCACTCGCCTTGGCCTCCCAAAGTGCTGGGATGACAGGCGTGAGCCACCGCACCCGGCCACTTGTTTTTGTTTTCTTAAACTGACTTTTGTTTTCAGCAGAGTGTCTCAACTAAGAACCCAAAAAGGGAAAGAAAAGAAACTATGTGTTCTCCCCTACAGAATGCTCTTGCCATAACTTTGTGAGATGACATGATTCAGAATTATCTCCTTGGCTTCTCATAGAGAGTTCCAAATCACGTCACCTTGCTTTGTGGAGAAAATGACCAGTTATGGATAGCAAGTACATTTGAAGCTGCTTCCGTTGCTTGGGGATCTATCTAACAGTATGAGGCTCAGGAGAAGTTTTGCCCTTTCTCCCTAGGAGGACGTGCTTTCTACAAACAGCCAATGTTCTGAGCTGCCTTCTTAAAGATGTGATTTCAGGAGCTCACTGCAGACTTCCTATGCAACTAGCCCAAGAGTTCTTTGTGTCTCTAAGAACTTATCAAAGAACTCAGCAGTATGAGAATAGATCAATACATAGAGGGTTTCCTTTAAGTCTTGTAGAAACTCATTACTCTCCAGTCTCTTTTTCCACTTATAGTAGAGAGAATCAGACTTGCGGATATCCAGTTAACTATCAATACCTTTAAAAAATGTGAACAAGCAGTCCATCTGAATAATTATACCAAATGTCAAGGCTTTTAAAAGTGCTTAACTTTAAAGGTCCTTTGCAGTTGTTCAGACCTAGATTCTCAGTTCAGTTAGCACAGAGAGAGACAAGGAAAAAATGAGGAACACTTTTCTCACGCATAAATATTCACTGGTTTTTGAAATACTATTGATTCCTTGGATAAGAAAATAGGTCAACTTTGTAGCTTTTTGTCTCCAAATTGATTTCCCGCCACAAACAGTGGCTTGTGCCTATAATCCCAGCTACCTGGGAGGCTGAGGTGGGAGGATCGCTTGAGCCCAGAAAGTCAAAGCTGCAGTGAGCTGTGATTGTGCCACTGTATCCCAACCTCAGTGACAGAGTGACACACTCTCTCTTAAAAAAAAAAAAAAAAAAAAAGATTTCCATGAATGTGCTGGTAAACCAGGAGATATAGAACTACTTGCCTCCAATTAGAACTCAAACCCTCCTATATCCCCTGCAGAGTGCTTGCTTCGTATTCAGAAGGAGGACACATTTTCACCGTCTGTGGGGTGATCGGACAGCATTCACAAACACACCTTAATGGAACACTGTCGGCTGTGCAAAAAATCTCCCCAAATAAATGATAAGGCCTTTTGTGAAATCCACATTACTGTGGGTTTTGAGCTCTGAGCTACCATATTCATACAACAGAACTCTAGTACTTCACACAGTATTAATCCTTTGCATTTTGTAACTTAGAAATCTGCTTTGAGAGATCAATTCAGTAGTTTTGTTTTTAACTTTTCCATTAAATATTATTTGAAATGCTTTCAGGCAGAACTTGCTTATCCTCTGATGTGTGATACATTTTCTGGGTTTTTCCTTGCAAAATCAGATCCCCTTCTTTCAGTTAGCTACAAAGTGTTAGAATATTAAATGGTTGTATTTGCCAATACCATGCTGTACTCTAGAAATAAAGAGAGCTAAGAGTTACAGAAGATATGTTATCAAGTTTCTAGCAACTTCAAAAGCATGGAAAAGTTAGCACATGGAAGATTCTGATTTGTTTTATTTATTTATTTATTTATTTTTTAATTTTCAAAAGAGGTTTAATGGACTTATACAGTTCCACATGGCTGGGGAGGCCTCACAATCATGGCGGAAGGCAAGGAGGAGCTCTCTTTTTGCCTGCCGCCATCCATGTAAGATGTGACTTGCTGATTTGTTTTAAAAAGTGACACAGAGCACGTTTTTGAAGTTAGCGATAAATTGGCCATTTGAAATGAGGAAGCTATGGAATGTAGATCTGTTTTGAAACTGCAGGAAGGATCACAGAACAATGCCCCGTTCTGATGAATCAGTAGAAACTAGAAGACAGAAAAGCATGTCATGTACTCTCCGTAAAGTTTGCTTGCTGGCACTATTCCTGCTTCAGCATTGAAAAAGTACACTCATTAACCAACTGAATACAAAAACAGTGCCTTCCACAGTTCAATTATGCTGCTTTAGGCATACTAAATTAGCTGTCTCCTGAAGTCTATCCACAGCTTCAGAAAACGATTCCTGGAAATAAGGAGTATTGTGTGGACTTGAAATGAATCAGAAAGGAAATGAAAGTGAAACTTGGGAATGAAAAAGCTTGGGTTATGTTCATACAGCAGTATGTCATCCTGACAATATACAGAATGGCCATTATACAGTGTGCACTAAACTGAGTAATGAGAGGGCTAAAGATAGTGTCATGAATTGAAAGCCTTTGCAATATAAGCAGAAACATAAAACACAGAAACAAGTACAAAATGAGAAAAACATATCCAAAGTTGGCATTCCATGCCAATAATGCCTAGGTAAAAGACACAGAAGAGTAGACAGAGGATAATTAGAAAAATATGACATTGCAATAAGAAAACAAAAACCATTGCTATAGAAAAGAGAATTAAATTCAATTTAATTTATACATATCAGGTACACTAAATGGAAGACACTGAACGAGGTACTAGGGTTGCCGCAATAAACTCTACTCTATTCCTACAGTAACAGATATAAAGAAAACAGAGGGAACCTGTCATCATTATGGTTCCACAAACATTTTTGCTTGGACGATGAATCAACATTGGGTGGTAAGGAGAAATAAGACAGATAAGATAGGAAGCTCAATCTAGAACATATACTTGACATTTTAAATGCACACATGTGACTGTAGAGGAGAAGATGAAATTGATTGGCCTGGAAATACACTGAAAAGTTGTGTCATTAGAAGGACACTGAGCCAGGAGTGGCAGAGTGGAGTCTGCAGTCAGGGCTCTATCAGTATTCAATGATCACTCTCTCTGTCATGTTGACCATATGGCAAGTCAAATCAGGCTTTCAGGAAGCCAGGGGGACATGTCTGTAATGGTGTGTTGTATTCCAGTACTTCACACCTAATTCACTCTCTTCATAAAACAGGGTGGCCACCCTTGATTCTGTGGAAGAAAAAAAAATGAACGAACAATGGGAAGAGTCCAAAATTGTAAGAAAAGTATTTCTTCTCCGTGCTACCACTACAAAGCTCTTGGTTTCTCATTATACAATGAAGTTACACAATTTAGCAATGGGAAAACAGATAGTAAATGCACATTTCACAACACAGCAAGATAATGCTTTTCACAGATGGCTGAGCACTGCAGGAATGTGGAGGGGATCCCCGTATGTGGAAAGGATCTACTTCAATTCCATACCTCAGTCCTTCACCTCCAGACATGCAGGGTGACAGAATCAACACATGACGCTATTTGTAAATTAAATATTGGCGTATCACAACACCACGGTCAAGCTCTCAGCATCAAAAAATCAGCTTTGAAAGAGAAAAGGCAAATTCACACACAGTGGCCCTGGTATCTGGCCTGTGCTGATGTGTTTAGGGAACAACATTTTGGCTCCCTGAAATATTTTAACACACGCATATATTTAAATAAATTATAATAAGGCAAATGTCATCATGCCAAAGCATCATTATGCTAAGACAATAGGTTAATTTATTTAGTGAATAGAGTCTAAATGGCATTTGGTGCAAAGTGGATCCAGAATATTGATAAAGTACAGTTCTCAAGCAAAAAGGTATTTGTTTGTGCTTGTCAACACTTTATGTAACTCATTAATGAAAGAACCAGAGGGTAGATTAAGGGGAATATCCAACAGCATTTGAAAAAATTGAGATCTATATAGTCATTTGTGTAAGGGATGTGTAAACAAAATTGCTAAATTAGAAGACTGGTTGACTTTTTACAGATTGTGAAATCACAGCATTTTATAAATTTCTGCAGATTAAATTCTAACCTTGACTATGGACTGTTGGCCAAATTAACTGTCACAACAAATATCAGATGACACACAAGCAGACTTATCAGAACATGCATGAACTTTATAAAAAACATATATTGTTAGCCTCGTTTTATCTTTTTCCAAGTCTGAAATACATTTTTATGTCACAAGGAGAACCCCAAGATTGTATTCATTTTCTTTTTTCCACCATTTGTGTTCTTGATAGCACAGGTGCAGCCTCGGGCTCAGTTAAATGTACCCACTAGGTTCTAAAAATGATCACAACCTTTGGGGAAATCTAGTCACCCCCTTTATTTTACTCATGTGAAAACTCACAGCTCATATGAAAACAAAGTTTTCATGAAAGTTTCTTTCATAAAGTAAGTTTATGAAAGAAAGGCTTAACATCTTACCCAGCCATATACCCTTTCAGAAGCAGGAATGGAACTGGACCCCAGGGATTCTGACTTTGTTTCAGGACTCTTCCTAACGCAACATCCTTATCTGTATAAAAGTTTTAAACTGTTGTATGCATTTCATGAGCTTTATGCATTTTGTATAGTATTACCCGTGGGGGTAGGGTAAGAAGCTTTACAATGGAGTTGTCACTACATGATTCTCACATTTGCATTATTTCTGTGCTTTTTAGGTTCCATCTTAACTAAGTTTTAAATGCTAGAATGTAAGGCTTAAGCAGGTAAAGCTCTCATTCTAATTTCTACCATGTATGGCAGGTAATTAAACTGTAGACAATGGTGCATCAGGCGAAGGTTCCCCCCGATGATTTACTATTCAGGGTCCTAATAATTTGACATTCCAAGCACAATACAGCTAAAACAAAGACTGAAACACTGGGAGCCATAAAACTGCAAGTATAATTCGAGACATCTAATCTGGGGGAGAAAATCGAGAACCAATGGCTCTAAGAGTGAGTCATCTGTTAGCATTCCCAAGCTCTGAACTGTAGCTTTAAGAAAGAAAAACAAATATCCTCATTTTGCATGTTAAGTTTCAAATCTAATGTGTTTCTGGTTCTGCATTTTAACACCTATATGCTCTGTAAAAAATATTCAATGGATTATTTTCCCAAGTTCTATCATATGACAGGGCTTCAACGTCTTATATTAAATCAGTTCTAAACTAAACAAGTGATTTTCCTCATACAAAATAAAAGTTGACACATATTAAACAAGTGGTAATGAGGGTTTCAGGCCATAAATATCAAAGCATTTTTCAAACTTAAAAACAAAATTTGACATTATGGAATGTCTATATTCTTTTCATGTTTTGTTTTATTTTGTCTCGGGGATGGAAAAATGGAATAATACTTAAAGTAAACTCATCTTTATTTTATCTGTTGAATGAACCATTGAATATAAATGGTTACTAAAGTCTGCTTTTTAATAGTAATGTAATAGAAGGAAAATGAATGATTCTAGAATCTTGAAACTGGAGAAAATAATTGGAAGAAGCCAAGAATCCTAAATCTCACTCACATCCTCTAGATTGTTAGCAATCATTTATGCATAAAAATTCAATTTCCCTTTGCCATTTCCTTTTTATCAGCTAATAATAAACGTGCGCACTGGATGGATGTAATTAACTTTCCTATAGACAATACAATGTAGAAGTCTATCTAATTATTTGGGTCTAGATTATTTTAAATAAGCAACCTGACTCTAAGTGAGCATAAACACAAAGCTCTGTCTGCTACTAATAATAATACATGTTGAAAATAAGGTATGGACAGCATTGTCATTATAATAATAATTATCACTGTAAAATAAAATATTTTTAAAATAGTTCCCTCTAACTTCAGCAGTTTTTAACTCTTTAGAATTTCTGCTATTCACAGGGAGATCCCTGTAGGATGTTGTTCATGGGTAAAACAGTCAGACACTGCTCGAAGCGATGGGACATAATTAGGTCTTTGTGTGTCTGGTCTTACAGACTAGTGAGAAATGTAACATCTGGTATTCATCAGTTATAACAACTGCTTCCATTCTAGTGTTTTTATTTAAAACAACAACACACTGTATATGGCCTTGAGTCCAAAGCACGGACACCTTTATTTTGGAATGTAAATCTGTGGAATCTAAAAGAATCCTTAAAGGCAGAGAAGAGAATGGTGGTTACCTGAGGCTGGGGGTGGGGAGAATAGGGAAGTGTTACTCAAAGCACACAAAGTTTCAGAAAGGATGAATAAATGGTAAGTAGGTGAGGTGGAAGGTATGTTAATTAGCTTGGGCCAGTTCTTCCACATTATCTGCATATATCAAAGCATCACTTGGTATCCCATAAATGTATAGAATTATAATTTGTCAATATTTAATAAGATAAAATTTAGAAAAATGTAAGAATAAGAAACACAAAGCTATACCAGACAAACAGGAAAGGAACTGATCTTCTCTTTTTTAGCATTAATCAGATTGACGCCTCATTTTGTTAATAGTCTAACAAAATCCCAAGGATGCAAGTCTCCTTGGACTATCCTCTATACTTTCACCGGGGTTCTAAAATCCCATGGTAACGCTGTCATTCACTCAGTAATGCTACAGATATTTATGGAGCACATACTATAAGCCAACACTGAATGAGAAAGGGAAAGTTCCAGTTCTTTCTGGGTTGGCATTCTAGTGTGAGAGATAGGCAGTAAATAAGGAAATATAACTGAAGGAAGTGATGAGTGCTAAGAAGAAAAATGAAACAGGTAAACTAATGTGAAGCTACCCACCCAAATGGAGGAAATGTTATTTTACATGGTGTCCTCATGGAAGACCACTCTGAGGAAACAATATATAAACAGAGACTGAATTAAAATAAAAGAATAAACTAGATAATGATCTAGTTCAGGGGAAGAAAGTTCAGGCAGTGAGAAGAGCCAGCCCAAAAGTCCTAAGCAAGGAAGTGTTAAAGGAACCAACAGAAAGCCCACAAGGCTGGGCAAGAGCTCGCATGTGGCATAAGATGTCTGGAATTTAGGAAAGGACAACTTTATGTAGAATTTATAACCTATGTGCACAGTTTGGATTTTTTTCCCCAAATATGCTGGCAAACCTTTGGAGAGTTTTGAAAAAGCAAATGATGTAGTTTGATTTACATTTTTGAAAGATCGCTCTGCTGCTGTGTATGAAAAAGAGTATAGAAGAGAACAGAAGAATGGATGCAGATGAGAATGTTATTAGGTAAGAATAATGGTAGATTAATTCAAATTTTGGCTATGAAGTTAATGAGATCTAGTTGAATGCTGAATATGTTTTAAAGGTAGAGCTCCCGAGATTTGCTGATAAATTTAATGTCAGGTGGTAAGTGGGGAAGTGGAAACAACAGTAAACCTGTTTTGTTGTTGTTGTTGTTGTTTTGTGGGAGGGGCGTGTTGAATAACTGGGTAGCTGCTGGTGCCATTTAATGAGATAGGGATGCCATGACAATCTGGACGAAGGGGTAAACAGACTTCTGATGGTGATGGATTAGCTGTGGGTATTTTAATAACATATCAGTTGAGATTCTGAGTAGGTGATATTCTGAACTGTCCAGCAGAATTTGGTGCAGTGACAGAAATGGGCAATAGAGCATTCATTAGGCACATGGGGTAATTAAATGCACTTGATTCATTTATTTATTTTTATTTTTTATTTTTTGTAGAGATGAGGTCTCGCTATGTTGAGGTCACTATGATGGGGTCTCGCTATGTTGAACCTTGTCTCAAACTCTTGGCCTGAAGCAAGCCTCTTTCCTCAGCCCCCCAAAGTGTTGGGATTACAAGCATGAGCTACTGTGCCCAGCCATAAATACACTTTAAATGTGATTCATAGGTGACTCAGGAACCTCACTTTAAATATGATTAATTTTAATTATTTCAAATCAAATTAGATACATGTGGCTAGTGGCTACCACATCGGACACCTACATTTTAGAGGAATGGAGATGTAAGGGACTCGGAAGGGTAGGAGGAAAGTCAGGTGTAAGGTGACACATTTGGTGACATTTTTTTCCAAAGGGAAAGGAGAAATATGGAAAAAACTAGAGGTATACGGGCACCAAGTGTGAAAACAAAATTACTGGTAGACATTGCACTATTTATTATTTAACAGAAATGATCCACCAGCAAAGTGAAAAAAAAAACTAACTCTGATTATGCTGATGGTGGACAAATGAACTAGTTCTTTTCTCTTCTTATTTGTTCTAATTTTCTTAGTGAAATAATCTCTCTAGGCCAGGCACAGTGGCTCCTGCCTGTAATCCCAAAATTTTGGGAGGCCAAGGATGGAGGATTGCTTGAGGCCAGAAATTGGAGACCAGCCTGCGCAACATAGCGAGATCTCATCACTACAAAGAAAGATAGGAAGGAAGGAAGGAAGGAAGGAAGGAAGGAAGGAAGGAAGGAAGGAAGGGAGGGAGGAAAGAAAGGAAAGAAAAATCTCTCTGAGGGATGAAAGATGGAGCTTTGATCTCCAATAAATCTTTTACACTTCTAACTCTATCTCAGCTTCAATTTCCAAAGAACCCAGCACTCCACAGTTAGTACCAGGAGTGTCCAAGAAAGCAAGTGGTAAGTCGGACGGGGTTTGGGAGGGGATCATGTGCAGTGTGGGTAGTAAAGAAGATCCTATCCTATGGGAGTAGGCTGTGCCTTACCAGACGCACACCTTCAAGTCTCTGAAACTGATGTTCTCATTGTAAAAATACCTTTGATGATGCACAGTAGTCCCCCATATCTCTCATCTGCAATTTGACTTTCCATGGTTTCAGTTACCCATGGTCAAGTATGGTCTGAAAATATTAAATGGAAAATTCCAGAAATAAACCATTCCTAAGTTTTAAATTCCACTCTGTTCTGACTTGCATGATGAAATCTCTCACTGTCCCGCTTTGTCCTTCCCAGGATGTCAACTACCTCTGTCCGGTGGATCCACTCTCTAGATGCTATCCTCCCCTTAGTCACTTAGCAGCTCTCTTGGTTCTCAGATTGAAAGAAAACATAGTGTACACTGGGGCTGGTCCTATCCAAGGTTTCAGTCACCACTTCGAGCCTTGGAACGTATTTCCCTTGGGGAAGGGGAGATTACTGTAAATTGTTTTATCTTACTATTATGTGACCTTAGCATAATGTTACAGATGACCACTCTTTCCTTAAAATATTATTGATTTTTGGTCTTAATGTCACCTCTGTTTCCTGTTCTTCCTGATACTCCCTTGTTCTCCACTCCATCCAACTTTTACATGACATTACTCTTCAAGGACTGCTCCTAGGCCCTTGTTTTAGTAAGTCCTCTAACCTCATGATTGTGTCATGCTATTTTCCACCAAGTAGCAAGATCCATGTTTTTAAAAATTTGAATAAGACCATAGCATTGTCCTAATTAAGGCCTCAGTAAATTGAAGTACTTTTACAGCCTAGAGGGCCCGGCTTGACAGCACATCCTACTATCCTAATAATCCCTCATAGTGTGCCACTCTTCCTCACCCACTTTGGGTTTCTTTCTGTTGTTTGAGGTTGCCATGCTTTTGTATAGGTCAGGGTCTTTGTCCATGCTATTTACATTGCCTATACTTTCCTTCTCCCCAAATTACATATCAACCTGTTTTTTGGCTATCAATTTATTAGTTCCCTTAAATGTTACTTGTTAATATGAACATTAACTTGTTAATATGAAAATGGGTTAATATGAAACATTTTCATATTAACAAGTTGCTCCCATTAAAGTTTTTGAGTTCCATTTTATTTCCTCTACAGCCTTTATTATATTTTGTAATTATTTCATTTGCTTGACTATGAGTTATTTCTGCTTCCCAACAAAAACAACAATGCAAACCTCATGAAGACAAACATTTGTTTCCTATTAAATCCCTCGTCTATCACAAAAAAAATTAATATAAATGAAAGAAGTACATGAATACATAAATTAATAACCAATTTCCTGGTTGGCCTATGATATTTAAAGTGAGGTTATCAATACCTACCTAATTTTTTTGTTAAGAAGCTTAGAGGAAATATATGCAAAGGACCTGTCACAGTGTCTGGTGTGTAGTGGTGTCCAAAATATGATAGATACATTTTTAAAAATTATAATTGCCAGATTTCCATTTGGCTGCCCCTCTCTCTTGGAAGAGAGAGGGTTGTTCTCCTTTTTTTTCTTTTGCCTGTTAAACCTCCACTCCTAAACTCAAAAATAAATTATAATAGCCATCAATTTTGCAGATAAGTGCAATTTACGGCAAATGCAATTAGCAATTGAAAAGAATAACAAATTATAAATGGCTGGGTGCGGTGGCTCATGCTTGTAATCCCAGCACTTTGGGAGGCCGAGGCGGGCAGATCACGAGGTCAGGAGTTCAAGAACAGCCTGTCCAATATGGTGAAACCCCATCTCTACTAAAAGTACAAAAATCAGCCAGGCATGGTGGTGCATGCCTATAGTCCCAGCTACTCGGGGGGCTGAGGCAGAAGAATCACTGAACCCTGGAGAGGGAAGTTTCAGTGAGCTGAGATCATGCCATTGCACTCCAGCCTGGGCAACAGAGCGAGACTACATCTCAAAAAAATAAATTATAAAAAAACTAAATTAAATAAACTCCAATATTTATTTATTTATTAGATTCATTCAGGCCAGAGTCGACGGGAAGGTTATTTATTGTCCCCAAATGACCAGCAATGAAACTTTAAAGCAAATCCTAAGTAAAGTCAAACCTAACCTTGTCACTGGGACAAACCAGAGCAGAGACTGTAGAAAAACTTTAACAGTTTTTCTTTAGTCTGTTTATCTATAGACACAGCCGTTTATGGAAACCAGGTGGCCTGAATGCCAGAAACTGCCTAACTCTCCTGACCCCATGCGAAATATCAAACGTCCAGACCTGCTAGATATTGCTGCACACCAGAGAAGGTGACCTTCAGTTACTGTTGGATCATTAACATATTATTATAATACCAAAAAGCTCTTCCCCAATAGAAGATTGCTGCCATTTTGTGTACACGTGATGTATGAAGAAGCATGTCATTAACTAGACCTGAATATCTGGAACTCCACCCTGTACATACTTACATTCCTACCCGAACCTGCATCCAACTCTTTAAAACTCCCATACTTCCCACTGCCCGGGGAGAAGGTGCCTTTGGAGCATAAGCTCCTTTTCATTCTTTGGCCACTGAATAAAATCTGATTGCCTTTCCAATTGAATGTTCTTTGCGATCAATACAAAGTAGGAAAGGACCAGAGTTTACTGGTGAAAACTTTTCTCCTTTAAGTTTTTAAAAATACTGGTTTGCAAAAGTGAGGACACTAATTCTTCAGGATTTCTCTCTCTTTCTACTTTTTTATCTGATGCCTATAAGAATTGGCATGTGCCCATCATCACATGAATAATCTCTCTGAATAAGAAGGCACCTCAATCTGCCTTCTTAGAGGACTATGGCTGACAGTACTGGGCAACAAGAGCAGGTAAAAGGGACACGCTCGGAGAAGGGTCTTAGAAGCAACTCTGAATGAAAAGACAGATTTGCATTTTGTAAAAGCCTAACATAATGGGCCTTGGTTTGTGTTTTTTCTCCCCCACCCTTTATTTATAAGATAAAGCATGCCCAATATTCACTAGTGATTCTTCTAGACGTACAGAACAGTTGACCCTTAAACCACATGGATTTGAACTGTGCAGGTTCACTTACATGGGGATTTTTTTTTCAATAAAACTTCTAAATGTGCCTGCGTCTCCTCCCTCCCCTTCCACTTCCACTTCTCCCACCCCTGAGACAGCAAAACCAACTCCTCCTTTTCCTCTTCCTCCTTAGCCTACTTAATGTGAAGACAGCAAGGATGAAGATGTATATGAAGACTCACTTCCATTTAATGAATAGTAAATATATTTTCTCTTCCTTATGATTTTCTTAAAAATGTTTTATTTTTCTCTAGCTCACTTTCTTATAATAATATAACACATATAACATGCAAACTATGTGTTGACTGTTTATGTTATTAGTAAGGCTTCTGGTCAACAGTAGGCTATTAGTAGTTACATTTTTGGGGAGTCAAAAATTATACGTGGATTTTCTACTGCATGGGAGTTGGAGCCCCTAACCTTCACGTTGTTCAAGGGTCAGCTGTATGTCCATATAGTAACATATCGATATACATCTATACAGTAACATATCTACTAGTGCCATGGCTGTTCTGGTCAAGAAATGGCTTTCTGTCACTCAAATACTCTCTCAGACATTGGCACTATCAAGCATTTTCGAGTATGTGAAACAGTTGACCAAGAGAAACAAATGATTTCTGATCAACTTATACAACTGATGCCAGATGTTCAGCTAACCGGAGAGTAACTAGGCAATTTAATGCTTGCTTTCTACAGTAGAAAAACAGATGTCTTCCTTGACTCTAGGAAAGGTAAGTTGCCTCTCTCGACCAGTAAATACTTCAGCTGCAGCTTTGTAGCATAGAAACGCTTTTCCCTTACCAGCATTGTGATGAGGCTTTGTTCCCTGGGCAATCTTTTCTGTCGCTGAGGAAGCACCCCATGAAGCCTGCTTAATGTTGAAATGAACCAGTTCCAACTGAATTTATTTCCATTGTACCACTTACAATAGTTTCAAATTATCTTTTTCATACACACTCCTTCTCCCATAGGATCCTGTAGAATAGAGTAAGCAGTGTGGGCAAGTTCAAAAATGCTCGGCTGCTGAGAAATGTTTTCTTGCCTGAAACATCTCTGTAGCAATGCTTGCTGAAAATGCTGTTAATACAAACAATTCAGCAACCCTGGTATTTACTCACGTATTTGCTGGCAAATATCAGTATTTCTTGGTAAGAATGGAAAATTACATTTCTTAATTTTTAATAGTCTTGTTGGGGGGTTAAATTAAAAACTATTTGCCTGAAAGACTATAAAATTCCTTCAAGTAATACATTTGCTTAATATTAAGCATCTGATTCTTCTCACATAATAAAAGTTGACTCCAATATGCATGCTATTGAAATATAGCTTATGGAAACAGCAAAGGTAATGTAAAGGACATATAAGATGTTCAAAGTATAAAATTATTTCTGTATATTTATTACGGAGGGTATTTTTGGCGAGTCAAGAACCTAATATAATCTAATTGTATGTTTATCAATGTTATTCCAGTTCTAGTTGATTTAAAGTACAGTATTCAAACTCTTACTTTCCTAATTCTGGACATGGCCTGAAATCATGTGAAAAAAATGGAATAATGGTTTGGGATTTGTTTTTCTTTTCTGATAGATAGCAGTGCTAACATATATTGAACATATGAGGCTAATAAATATTTTTTATGTGACAGAAAGAATCAGGTCAAAACAAAAGGTAAAGTGATTTTAGATTTGCTAAGAGGAAATATGATTCTTTCAGTGAGACAGAAAACTAAGTAAATAATTAATACATTCACAAGTAAACAGAAGATAAATTGATTACTTATATCCCTAAAGAGCACAGAGTTCTGTGTGGAGGATGCTAATTCACTTCTTGAGAGTGTTCTAGACAGACTTTTGATTTTGTGTGTTTTCAGAACAACCAAATTTTATGTTAGAAAATGTTGATTTAGCTCTTGAGAACTTCTAATAATAAATTCCAAAGGTTTCATTATTTCTTTAAACTTGCCAATGCTTTATTAGTATAAGATGTGTCTTGTGTTATCTTTGATCTTTCTTACTCATCAACTCTAGGTATTATGTAATCTTCTTGAGACAGTAATGCATTTGTTATTTCAATTTTCTTTTGTTGCCTGGAACAAATATTGGCTCAAAGATGCAAATCTGTACAATTAAATTTGAGGGAAAAAAGATTAGTACATTTTCCTTTAACACTCAAATGACAAGGGAGAGAAGCAACAGGCACCAACATGTCTTCTTGAAGTAATCTGTACTAGTCAGGTTCTTCCTTCATCATATCCTTTTCCTGATCTGCTTAATGGAAAGAAATGGGACTTTCCTTTGACTTTCTAAAATAATACCTACCTATTTTTACAACATGTAATATCTTGAAGTAAGCCTACTTCCTTCATTGGTTATTAAAGTGCATATGCTGAATTTAAATTAAAATATCAAACGATATATCTAATATTCATTAGCTTTTCTTTGAACTAAAATTCCTCCAGAGTACTTGAAAATAATGTGTTCTAGAATAGGTTATGCTCTCAGTCTATGATTTATATTTATTCTTATGTTCCTCTATAATATAATATAATATAATATAATATAATATAATATAATATAAATAGGTTTATTCACCTTGCTATAAGGATCACGGTTTATTCATTAGTAACGTCCAGATTTACGGGACTAGCAATTTTGGCATGTTTGCTTAGCTCGCATGTCTGAGCTTAGATGGGAAAGGAAAGTAGGCTCTTAACATATCAGCATAGAAAACTGTCAATTTTAATTTATTGGGATTAACATACACAAGTTAATTTTTGCTCTCTTGGTTACTATTGTAGATAAATCAAAGCTCAAGATTTGGAAAGGAGCTACTTTCCCTCAGCACATTAAGCTTCTTAAGCAAATACACACTTGGCTACAATGAATGCTATCCATTTAAGGAAACGTGAAAACAGTGCTTTAGAATTTTATTTTTAAAATGCAACCTATTATATATCGTTAATGTTTAGTAATTATCAAAGAATATTTGGTATGCTAGGTAGTTGGTATTTCAACACACTTTTCTATTTGTAGAAACATATGTAAGCCTATCTCTTTAAAGATTGTTTTTCCATTTGTTATTCC